>NC_000010.11:10313030-10464545 GCF_000001405.40 Homo sapiens
ATGAGGGAAAAAAATTAAGAAGCAGCTTTGCTCAATTTTTAATATATCACTTGCAGCCCAAATTAGAAGATGAGGAAAAAGAGATAAAGAAGAGTCCTCTTAAGATTCACTGGGGGCATTTTTGAAGTTGCATCAGTGATATTTGTACCATCACCATCCACTCCACTATTATCTACAACATAACCCCACAGTTTTCAGGAAATTCCATGTCATTCAGCCATGCATCTATTAGAAATGCAAAGCATTCTTGCTAAGAGAACTCAGTGTAAAAGGGCAGTGTTGGAATTGGTATATATTTGGCACAGAAACCTTCCTTTGAAGTCCACTGGGAATCGTGGGGTAGATGTCATAATTCTAGTCTCTTAACCTAATCAGGTTTCCTCACCCTATTCTAAAAACTTGGAAACTGGCAGATTTTATGGTTGCCTTACATAAAATCTGTGGTAGTTTCTCCAGTATGACGGTTCTGTCGTAGACTTTAAGTAGCTTTAGAAGATATCTGTGTCAATCTTTTATATCCAAAGTTTAAATGACTTATGCTCAATAAAATGTATTCAGCATTATTGTACACACTGCTTTATACAAGCCTCTAGGGTTACAGAGATAAAATCTGCAGTGTTTCCCTGTCAAAGAATTTACATTCTGTTATTAGAAGCAGTTATGTAAATAAATAAATGTCACAGAGCATACCACATGCTATAATTCCAGCAGAGTTCAAAGTCCTCCAGGAGAGAAACAAAGCAGGAAATATCTGACTTTATCTAGGAATAACTGCAGCAGATTCTTAAGTGAGATGACATAAATTGAGTCCTAAGGAACTTGAGTGAAGTATGATTTTTTAGTCTCCAGTTCTAAGTACATATTGGATTTTCTTGTTTCTCTTCTGCACTGGTAAAAATTCTTATTGAGTTTTTTGGAAAAAAAAATTAAGTCAGAAAATTACTCTAAAAGCATTTTCATATAAATAATTGTGTAATACATTCAAATCATTTTTAATATAAATAACTTAGACATAGGTCTACCAATAACAGAGAATGGAGACATCTTGAGAAGCATTAAAATTTTACGTATTATTTTTAGTACACCTGAATTGGAAGTTTTTGTGCCAAAGTCTTATATTAGGACTTGTGAATGTATGTAAAGGCACAGAGACTTTGACTCCTATGTGCTTTACATGTGAGAAAGGGAGACACAGACTCCCAGGAATAAAGTCTATATCTAAAGTAGTCTGTGAGAATAGTTAACATGTAGGCACAAAAGAACTATAATCTGGTAATGAGAGGAGAGAGAATTCTACGAAGAACTTAAATGTTTCTTGGAGGAAGTGAAGATTTCTATTCACATTCACACTGAATTGTTTCCTCAACCATAGTGACAGGATAATCCTGGTGATAAATTTTTCTGATCTGCATGTGTCCAGGATCAACTATGAAAGATCGCACATTTATCAATGGAATATCCGTGGTAATGTGCGCAAACTGTAAGAAATGCAAGGATGCGATGGTCTCACGCTGGGATCAATATGGCCTTGACCTCAATGAACCATAGAATCTGGCTACACTAGGATGCCAAGTCACACAGATAGGCCACAACCTTTAGGAGTGGAGAGAGAGCCAGGTCTTTGTGAATTATGCATAATTTGCAAATTATTTTATCTACTCCCAAACTTCTAATCTACAACAATGAATGGGTGCACATCTCTCAGCAGATATGATTTTTTTTTCAAGCTGGCATCAAGTGAAGAAGATGAGGTGGTATCAGATAAGATGCTGCTACTAGTTGGCTAAACTAAATAAATGCTGAGGCTTAGGTTTATCCAAGTCTTGGGTTTCTGCCCAAACCTATTTATAAGCATTAGTGGGAAATGCAGAGGCTGCGTATCTCAGAAAACTGAATTTACTAGACTAAGTATTAGGTTCCATATTACTCTACAGGAATGTCAAATCTTAACAGTATCCTCAACTGTAAAATGGATTCGATTGGTCTGTCAGAGTTCATGGAGTAGATTAAAAATGTCTGAACGAGTGACTTTTAGAAACAGCAAGTAGAAAGTACCATATAATGCTAAATAATCTTATTAAATTTCAAGATGCTGTGGCAAGTGGCACCAGGTAAATGCTTAGTACATTAGGGCCTATTTGATTTGCATTTACCTTCAAGAAAATACAGTTTTTGAAGTAATTTTGTTTCTATACACTATAGCTTCTAAAGAGCCATACATCTTGTTTGTATCTCTGAGGCTCTATGAAACTCTTGATTGAAATGAAATGTATCATCCGGCTTCTGTGTTGATTGTAGTTGAGCAAAGAAAGAGAGTGAGTAGGTTCTCCAGAATGTAAAAAATATGTGAGATGTAGTTGCGTTTTTCTAATGCAAAATTTATTGCCTATTGCCTTAAGAAATGAAAGTATCCTTTCCTATAAAAATGCAGTAGGGTAACCTTCTTTTGTCTGGAATGAAAAGACACAATTATAAAGGGCACAGTTATAAAAATAAACACACAATTATATTCACCAAATCTACTAGCAAATATTGTACCCTGGACCTAGTTTACCACTATGGAGACAATGAAGATGTGTTTAACTGCAAGACACTCATGTGCCTACTCTGTGTTCTAATAAGGAACAGAGATTATGGATTTCCTTTGTATACTTTTTTGAAATAAGTAGCTAATCTAGTTGTCACATAAATGGTAGTTGTCCTGGAGTGCCACCTATAACTACAGTGAGTAAATGAGAAATGAGTCTTTGCTGTATCTAGCCATTGAAATGTAGGGGCTTTCTGTTTCTATAGCATAGTTCTGTCTATACTGACCAATACTTCACCACTAAACTACTTTTTTCTTTTCATTAGAAGATGAAATCAACAGATTTTAATTACTTACATTAGGCATGCAATTAGTTTATTGTCCCCTTCAAGAAGCTTTAAGAAGGGAAGAAAAGATGAATGCTCTAGAAAATTTCCAATTAATTCTCTCCCTTTTTTGGAAATTACACTTGCTTTCTTCTTCATGATTCTATAGAGAGGTCCTCAATGACTCCTTAAAACCCAAGTTTCAAATAGTGGCTTCCTGGACAGAACTGTAGGGACTGCTGGAAAATTCTGCCATTCACCTCCATTCCCAAGGACCTTGTAGACACTGAAGAATCCCACCTTCAGGTAGAGATGGGAATAGCATGAGCAGGGCCATTGTCACAGGGGTGTCATCTTTACAAACACATAGGGTCCACCTAGAAGAGGCCCATGAATGAGAGAATGCTCTGCTTTCGCCATTTTGAAATTCTCACTAATTTACAAGAGTATGTGTATTGTATTTTCAGTTTGCACTAGGATCCAAAAATTATGTAACTGGTCCTGATTTGGGGCAATACTTTGCAATCATTGGCAGTGCATTTTCTATGGCATACAAGACATGTTAACATCTTTGACAGATCTCTGTCTCTGTTTCCAGGATGTTGGCTGCATTTTGATATAAGGAAGCAAATTATTGTCTGCTCCAAAGAGGGTAGGGAACCTGAGGTTTAATACGTCCTGTATAAGCTCACTTCATCTTTGGTAGTTCCAACCTGAAGGAGAAAGAAGGGACTAATATCTGCCTTGCATTTGGAATTGCCAAGGCCTAGATATACAGATACAAATGGTTTTCAGGGACCCCACAATATGGGATTTCTTTAAGTTCTACCATTAGTGAGTACAGTATTACTCTGTGCTGGGCTCCTTAGCATGTCAAGCTGCCAACTCAGCAACCTCATATTGGAGCCCACCAGTAATTAATGGCGCTAATATGAAATACGCAGAGTGAATGAATAATCATTGTAAACAAGAAAAGAAGTTAATGCAAGTTTTACTTTTACTATACCAAGTGCATTTAAAATTGTTTGTTGTTTTCAACTCCATGTGAGTTTTTGCTAACTGCGTAGCCTCAAACTCATGTATTCAATGCATCAGGTAGTTCCATCTGTTAAATAAAAGAAGGTCTATCCAGGTTGCAATGAGGCATCAAGTTTCACTCTGAATCTTACTCATATAGAGCTCTCTACATCGAATTTATCCCTGCTCCTCCCCTAGCCTCACCTAAAATGTTTTGCATTTCATTTGAATATTTTGTCTCTCTCAATAAACAATAAAAACATCAAAGGTGTTAACATCTCTTGCTATCCAGTTTATCGAAGAGCAGGCATGCAATGAATGAATCTTTCCATTGTCAACTTAGGAAAACTCTGAGTTAATAAACAGTGAAACAAATCTATGAAAGTTTGGCAGTAAAACAATATGACTCAGTTGCCAAGTCATCCCTGTATTTTGTTTTAATATTCCATACATCTGCACCTAAGAATAAATCCTATTTGTTAAAGTGAACTTAATAACTTTAAAGAGAGAGACAGGTAAATATTTTAGACAACAGAACAAAGGATGGCCATCTGCCCATTAGTAGGCACTAAGCAAATGTTTAAGGAATGAATAGCTGAACAAAAGTTATTGCCTTCACTCAGCAACTATGACTAAAAATAATGATGAATACTTCTATAGTATACCACATGGCGGAAACATTGTTAAGTGTTTTCTATGTATAATCTCAATAATCTTTAGAGCAATCCTAAGAACAAGTGAATATAATTATCCTATGAGGAAACTGATATAGAGAGAGGCTTAGTAATCTGATTATTGGTAGAAATAAGATTTAAAGCTGGTTATTGGTGGAAAAAAGATTTAAAACTAGGCAGTCCCTTCAGTCTGTGGTCTTAACCACTGGGCAAAATATCTGGGTAGATTTTGTTGTTGTCAAAATATTCCCTATCCTTTCCCACCAGGCCCATTCCTATAACATCATCATATTTCTCACTTCATTGAAGTCACACTGGCCATATGACTTGCTTTGGCCAATTAAATATAAATGGAAGAGATATGTGACACTTCTGATAATTTAAAAGCCATCATATTGTTTCTAAAACTATGTTTTTCTTCTTCTTAGATACAAGCAGTGCCTTAAAGAAAAACTATTCCTTCATCTAGATTGGGTCCAAGAATAAAAAGTCAAAGATAAATTATGATAAACTTCTAATGTTAGAAAACAAAATAATTCTTTGTTTCAAACCACTGAAATATAGGGTATATTTGTTATGACAGCATAACTTAGCTAAATAATGCATTGCATTTTTTAAGACTGCATAAAATTTTACTAGATTTAGTAAAATTTTGCTAGACTTAATTGATTTTGCATAAAATCAATTGATAATTCTGTGTTCTGTGTTTTGTGTCCTACAGTCTGTAGAAATATTATTTTATACATAGAGATTAACACAGAGTCCACAGAAGGGGAAAACAGGTGGTATAATGTGGAAAAAGAGTGGACTGGAAATCAGAAATAAAAAATCTGACTTGAATCAATTGCATAACTTTGGGCAAATCACTTAACCTCTCTAATATTTGGTTTAGTCATCTGTAGAATGAGAATGCTTCATAGGAAAGCCGTATTAGGAACATTTTAGCCTTAAAATTACATGCATAGTAGATTCAATGCAAAGCCAATAAAAATCCCAGTAAGCTATACCATAAAAAATGACAAACTGATTATAAAGTTTCGATCATATGGCAAATGACCCAGAATAGCTTACACAATACTAACGAAAAAGTTAGAGAACTGACACTACCCAACTTTAAGACTTACTAGATACCCATAGTAATCAAGATAGTGTAAAACCAGTAAAAGAATAGATGTATAGAACAATAGTATATAGTAGGTAGTCTAGAAATAGATCTAATCAAGTGTAATCAACTGATCTTTGACAAACAAGCAAAGGTAATTCAATGGAGAAAATGTAGTCTTTTCAACAAGTGATGCTGGGACAATTGAACATTCATATGCAAAAAGCACGAACTCTAGAAATAGATCTGACATTTGTCACAAAAATTAACTCAAAATGAATCATAGACCTAAGAGCAAAATGCAAAATTGTAAAAGTTCTATAAGAAAACAAGAGAAAATCTAGCTGAATTTGGCTTTGGCAATGAGTTCTGAAATAGAATACCAAAATCATGATCCATAAAGGAAAATATTTGTAAGTTGGGCTTAATTAAAATTTCTGAAAAATACACTGTGAAGAGAATGAAAATACAAGCCACAGACCAAGAGAAAATATTTGTAGAAAAAAATATCTGAAAAAGGACTTGTATCCAAAATATACAAACCACTCATAAAACTCAAAAATAGCTGGAGCAGTTAGGCAAGAAAAAGAAATAAAAGGCAGCAAAATAAAAAATAAAGAAGGAAAATTATCTCTGTTCACAGATAACATGACCTTATGTAGAAAACTCTAATGATTCACCAAAAGGAAAAACTATTGAAACTAATAAAATTTAATAAGGTTGCACTATATAAAATAAACACCCAAAAATCAGTATTTCTATATACTGAAAATGAACAATCTAAAAATAAAATTAAGTAAACATTTTAATTTACAATAGCATCAAAAAGAATAAAGTACCATATTTAGGAATAAACTTAGGCAAGGAGGTTCAAGACTTGTACACTGAAAACTACAAAACGTTTCTGAAAGAGATAAACTAATGGAGAGATAGTTCATGTTCATGGATTGGAAGACAATACTTCTAAAAAGTCAATACTACTCAAAGCCATCTATAAATTTAATACAATTTTCATCAAAATTCTAACAGCAAGTTTTTTGCAGAAATAAAAAAAAATTCTAAAATTCATATGGAATCTCAAGGGACCCCAAATTGTGAAAACAATCTTGAAAAAGAAGAACAAACTTGGAAGATTTGCACTTTCTCATTTAAAAACTTATTACAAGATTACTGTAATAATTAAAATATTGCAGTATGGGCATAACAACAGACACATAGATGGATGGAATAAAATAGAGAGCCCAGTATAGTCCCAGCTACTTGGGAGGCTGAAGTGGGGGAATTGCCTGAGCCTGGGAGGTAGAGGTTGCAGTGTGCTGAGATTGCACCATTGCACTCCAGCCTGGGTGACAAAGTAAGAACCCATCTCAAAAATAAATAAATAAATAAAAATTAGCCCAGAAATAAACTCTCACATATAACTAAATAACTTTTGACAAGGGAGCCAAGACCACTCAATAGGGGAAGGAACAGTCTCTCAATGAATGGTGTTGGGAAAAGTAAATATTCACATTAAAAATAATGAAGTTGGACCCTCACCTTACACCATATATAAAAATTAACTGATTTTCTCTTGTGGCAAGAGCAGCTAAAATCTACTCATTTATCAAAACATACTGAATGCCATACATTATTATTGACTATAGATCCTTGTGTTGTACATTTGATCTTTATACTTGTTCATCTTACATATCAACAATACCGTAATGTTGTATGCCTTAGATATACACAATACATTCTTTTCAAAAGTTAACTCAAAATGGATAAAAACCTAGACACCTAAAGCTACAAAATCCTTGGAAGAAAACATGAGGAAAAAGCTTCATGATATTGCATTTGACAGAGATTTCTTGAATATGACACGAAAAGCACAGGCAATAAAAGTAGACAAATTGGACTTCATCGACGTTTAATTGCATCAAAGGACACAATCAATGGAGTGAAAAAACAACATAGAGAATGGAAGAAAATATTTACAAATCACATATCTACTAAGGGGCTAATGTTTACAATATATAAAGAACTCCTATGTTTCAACAAGAAAAAAAGTCAAATAATACGATCAAAAAATGGGTAAAGTACTTGAACAGACCTTTCTTCAAAGATGATATACAAATGGATAATTAGTAAATAAAAAATGCTCACATTACTAATCATTATAAAAATGCAATTCAAATGCAAGGTGTCACTTCACACCCATTTGGATGACTATTACACCAAACAAAAAAAACAGAAAATAAGTGTTGGCAAGAATGTGGAGAAATAGGAACCCTTTTGCATTGTTGGTGGGGATGTAAAATTGTGCAGCTGTTATGGAAAACAGTATGCTGATTCTTCAAAATTTAAAAACAGAATCACCATATGATCCAGCAAATCCACTTCTGAGTACATACCCAAAATAATTGAAAACAGGGACTTGAAGAGATACTTGCACGCTCATGTTCACAGAAGCATGATTCACAGTAGCCAAAAGGTGGAAGTAAGCCAAGCATCCATCAAGAGTAGAACGGATAAAGAAAGTGTGGCCTGTACACACAATGGAATGTGACTCAGCCCTATACAGGAAGGACATTCTGATACGTGCAAGTGTGAACATGAAGGGCATTATGTTAAGTGTAGCAAGCCAATTACAAAAAGACAAAATATGGTATGAACCCACTTATATGAAGTATCTAAAGTAGTCAGATTCATAGAAACAGTAGAATGGTGTTGCCAGGGATGAGGTAAGGAGAAGTAGGAAGTTGTTCTTTAATGAGAACAACTATATAGAGAACAACTATATTGTTTAATGAGAACAACTGAAACAATATAGAGTTTCAGTTTTACACAACGGAAAGGTTTCTAGAGATTGGTTGCACAGCAGTGTGATTAAACTTAATCCTACTAAACTGTACACTTAGAATGGTTAAGAGAGTAGTTTTATATGTTTTTTATCACAATTAAAAAAACGAAATGATAAGAAAACAAATGATGCCATTAAGACATGGATAATGTTCTGAGCAGAAACCACCCCACCAAAGAAGATACACAGATAACAAATTAGCATATAAAATATGTTCAACGTCATTTGTCATTAGGGAATTGCAAATTAAAAGAAAAACGAGATACCTCTGCAATGATTAGAATGGAAAAAATAAAATAACTGACAATATGGATTTCTGATGAGAAGATGGAGTGAGAACTCTCATTCATTGCTGGTGGAAATGCAAAATAATGCAACAGCTTTGAAAGACAATTGTTTGTTTTGTTCATTTCTTACAAAGGTAAGCATAGTCTTATCAAAAAATCCAGCAATCACATTTCTAGGTATTTATACCATTCAGTGGAAAACTTACTTCCACATCAAAACTCTAAAAATGAATGCTTATGGCATTCATATTCATAATGGACAAAACCAGACGCAAACATGATTGTCTTCAATAGGTGAATGGATACACAAAGTAGAGTATACTTCTTCGATAAAATAGTATTCTGCAGTACAAAAAAAAAAAGAGAGAAAGAAAGAAATGAGCTACAATTCCACAGAAGAAAAGAATTAGTCTTTTTTTTTTTTTTTTTTTTTTGAGATGGAGTCTCGCTCTGTCACTCAGGGTGGGGTGCAGTGGCGCGATCTCGGCTCACTGCAAGCTCCGCCTCCCAGGTTCACGCCATTCTCCTGCCTCAGCCTCCTGAGTAGCTGGGACTACAGGTGCCCGCCACCACGACCAGGTAATTTTTTTGTAGTTTTAGTAGAGATGGGGTTTCACCGTGTTAGCTAGGATGGTCTCGATTTTCTGACCTTGTGATCCTCCCACTTCGGCCTCCCAAAGTGCTGGGATTACAGGCGTGAGCCACCGTGCCCGGCCCAGAATTAGTCTTAAATCCATATTGCTAAGTTGTAAAAAAGCCATTTTGAAAAGGCTACTTACTGTATAATTCCGAGGACATGACACTCTGGGAAAGAGAAAACTATACAGACAATATAAAATCAATGGTTTTTCAGGGCTTTGGAGAACAGAGGTAAGGACTGCACAGGGAATTTTTAGGGCAGTAAAACTATTTGGTGAGATAATGGAATGGTTAACACATAACATTATACTTTGTCAAAATCAATAGAACTTTCTAGCACAAAGAGTAAACCTTAATACATGCACATTTTAAAAATAGGAGGTTTGGGCATTCCAAGAAGGAATTCAGACTGTCATGAGAGAATCTAATTGTATTTCAAATGTATGAAACAACATAAGTTACGGGGACATGAGAGAAAAGCATCAACCTAAGTAACAAACCTGTAAGACTAAAGCCAAAAGAACTGCGTGTAAGCACTACACTATAGTTAGTTGATAAAGTAGTTTTCCAAGGCGGTACCGGGGAATTGGTTAACAATTCTGACACTGCCATACATGTATTCTGGAATTGAAAGGTTAAGTAGATGGTGGATGGTAGGAGGCAAGTTTCTTATTTTGGGAGTGGGAATTTAGAGAAAGACAATGGAACTAGGCTAGAATGATCCATATTGGAATGGATTAGAGTTGGAGACTACAGGATGTGCTCATGTTTTGCTTAATTTAGATACAGATGGTTACAGATAGAAATATTTATAGATTCTGGGTATACATGGATTAATATACACACATGTATTTTCTTGCTGTCAGCTGAGAGAGCTCATTAGAAATGGCATCCCAGTAGCAACCAAGTCCTAGCACCCAAACCCAGATTCCTAATTCTGATTCTCCAATGAAATGAACCAGTGCTCCTTATAGAAATGGCTAGCCCTAAAACTATACAAGATGACCCTCGAACATGTTGTACTGCCAGAAAGTAAGGAAACGTTTTATCACACATGCACACTCACACACATATACACACAGACACATATATTCACAGTGATGGGGAGTACATCAAAGGACCCAGAAGCCAATGGAAAGACCCCCCAATGGCTAGCCCTAAAACTATACAAGATGACCCTCGAACATGTTGTACTTCCAGAAAGTAAGGAAATGTTTTATCACGCACACACATACACACACATACACACACAGACACATACACACACAGAGTGATTGGGAGTACATCAAAGGACCCAGAAGTCAATGGAAAGACCTCCCAATGGCCAAAGTTGAGACAATTCGAACAATAAAATAAATCAAGTACCATTAGACTATAACCCAAAATATAAAATAAATATACAAGAGTCCACACTGATATAAGTAAGTGATTAAATAAGAAGTTTAGGAGAAGAGAATATCTCATATGCAGAAGAATTTCAAATAATTAATGTAGACACCCTTACCTTCATGTAAGGATGCAAACGTAAATCCTCACTCTTCAGACGAGATTGGGCGCATTCAGGGTGGTATGGCCCTAGATTAAATCATCACTCTTCAGAGGAGATTGGGTGCGTTCAGGGTGGTATGGCCCTGGAAGAAATCCTCACTCTTCAGGTGTGGGTTGTGCACAGTGACTTCCTTCCAAAGTGTATAGAATAGAGAAGGGGAACATCGAGTAACTTTCCAGTGAAGAAATCTGACAAACACAACCTCAGCCAGGTGATCAAGGTAAACCTGAACAATGATTTGTGATGGTAGTGGTATATAGCTTTGATGTGATAGGATGAAAGTGACAACTTTATCTTTGAGATCTTTCTCCCAGTAACCCATATCCCAGTCTAATTACGAGAAAAGATCAAACAGATTCCGATAGAAAAACATATCACAAAATAGTTGTCCAGAACGCCTCAAAACTCTCTAAGTCATCAAATATAAGAAAAGTCTGAGAAATTGTCACAGCCCAGAAAAGCGCTAAGGAGACATGACATGTAACGTGATCTTCTGGACGGGATCCTGGAAGAGAAAAAAACTTTAGATAAAAACTAAGGGAATCTTAATAAACTGTGAACTTTGGTTAATAACAATGTATCAATATTGGTTTGTTAATTATAACAAATGAACCATACTGATGTAGGATGTTAGTATAAACCCCGAAAATTTGAGACAGGTCTCAGTTAATTTAGAAAGTTTATTTTGCCAAGGTTGAGGACATGCACCCAGCACACAGCCTCAGGAGGTCCTGATGACATGCACCCAAGGTGGTCAGAGCACCCAGCTTGGTTTTGTACATTTTAAGGAGACATGAGACATCAATCAACATATGTAAAATGAACATTGGTTCAGTCTGGAAAGGCAGAACAACTAGAAGAAAAAGTAGGACAACTGGAAGTGGGGAGGCGGCTTCCAGATCACAGATGGGTGAGAGACAAATAGTTGCATTCTTTTGAGTTTCTCATTAGCCTTTCCAAAAGAGGTAATCAGATATGCATTTATCTCAGTGAGCAGAGAGATGACTTTGAAAAGAATGAGAGGCAGGTTTTCCCTAAGCAGTTCCCAGCTTGACTTTTCCCTTTAGCTTAGTGATTTGGGGACCCAAGATATTTTCCTTTTTCCATTAGTAATGGGGATAACTGTGTGCAAAGTGTTTGGAAACTCTCTGTACTATCTTCTTACTTTTTCTGTCAATCTAAAAGTATTCACAAACTTTCCAATGAAGCTGGAAAGGAAGATAAACTCCACAGGAAGATACAGTAATTATATATGGTTCATTTTTCACATTCCAAAGCTTTCTTTTATTCACACTGTGAACACGTGGTAGGAAATAACCTATAACTTTTGAAATCATCCAAGGCAATTCTATACTTTTTTCTCCTGAATCTGATGGGCAGGAGTTCTCATTGAGTCAAACTAAGTATTTTTAAGAAAACTTGTTACTTTAAAAACAGGTCAATTCTTAAATTCATAAAAGCTATCAAAATTTTATCTATAAATTATCCTAACCTAGCGAGAAAATATGTAAGCTTTCTCCCTCTACAAATCTGAAACCTGCATTAATCAATCTATAAGCCTCTTGCCTCCATCTCCCCTCTTCCATTTCTTTACCTAAGTGGACAATCTGAAAGTTTAACGTTTGAAATCTTGGCACCTAAGCTCAAAACCCCTCAGCACTACCACTAGTATACATATGCACTTGCTGACAAAATGCAAAATAGGACCACAATTATGAATCTATTGTTAACCTCAGCATCTTCTGACAGTGGCTTTCCTCTCTTTAGGGATGGCAGTTTCCCAACAGTCAGATGCACCTGTTCTACTGAGATTTTTTTCATTTATTATTTCAAATTCAAGAGCTTATGAAAATAAGTTCGTATACTGTCAGGCTCAAAACGTAAGTAAAAATTTCCCTTGTTCCCAATGTGCTTTGCTTCTAATATATTGGTCAAAAAGGATGTTTTCTTTTTATACATATGATCCCTGATTGTTGCTTTTGTTTGGGCTATGTTTTATGCAGCAGATTATGAATATGGTTTGATATATTCTATTTTGCTACGTTAATATCAGGTTTTAAAAAGAGATATATTAGTTCTGATTCTCTGTGTATACATAATGACCAGATAAAAGCCAGTTCACTTAATGTGAAAAGTCAGGCTTTAGTTTTTTGCCATTTTGTAACTTCCTTTTAAATTGATGTCACCAGATAAAAAGTGAGCTCTACGCCCATCTCTGTAGGGACTAAAGTAAACTGTGGTTTTATATCAGATGTGTGTCACCATTTTTCTGAGAACTATATTTGGAAGACAGCCAAGTGGATGGAAAGAAGTCCTGAGATTTAGAGGCAGGACCGCCTGGCGTTGAGTCCCAGCTCAACCATTTGCTAATTGGATATGTGTGGATGTCTTAGATCTTAGCTTCTCCAGTTACAAAGATTAAAAGAGAATGAAACTTAGTGGGCTGATCTGAGCATAAATTGAAACTGTACATATTCAGAGCATATTTCAGTGCCGGACACATAATAGTTTTATGCCCTTTTGACTTAAATTACGTCACAAAACAATGAACAAATGTCACCTCCTTGTAATCCTCTGACTAATCTTCGCCCTTTCTCTGTGCTTTGGAGAAAGCTGAAAAAGTTTCCTGTCCCAAAACTGTAACTGGGCACTATGTCCTTCGGTCAATTCCATCCACACGTGGGGCATGGCCACTCACCCCTTGCACTCACACTCCCACCAGCTTCTCCACCTCAATTTCCCCACTCCCAGCTCTTCCCACGTGCTCCGAATCATCTCATTTATAATTAGCTAGAGGTGAAAAGGTTAATTTTTTTATTTAAAAAAACTTAATATTTTAACACATCATTGCCTTTGATATTAGTGCAGGCAGTGTACTGAAGTCACTGAATCCATAATGACCAGACTGGGGAGTGAATTTCGAATTTGATGTCCTGTCCTGTGTGCGTTTCAGTCTACCGTGTACTGATACTCCCTGCGATATGATCTGAAGTAGCAAAAGTTCTGCTTGCTTACTCAGTCCTGGAATTCTAGAAAACTATGTATGTTCTCACACATCTTTAAATTTTTCAAATATAGCCTTACAAGTTATTTTTTTCTTAAGAGATAGTATATAATGATGGATTCATAATTGGAATATCTGTGACACAATGTGTTAACTAGGTCTTAGTGTTTATTGAATCATGCACACTCAATTTGAAAGAAATTACATTAAAATTTGTTTGTTGTTTTTCTGCAATATGAAGAGAAACTGGGGGAGAAAAAACCCTGTAGCCCATGAGAGCATTTTAATTATATTTAGAAAAATCAGTGTCACTCTACTGCTTCAGTTGTTCAAAATTCAGAATATTTAACATGTGCTTAGCTTCACTCCCATTAGGAATATTTGCAAGATGGAGGAAGACAAAAAGACCTAGAGGATCCTGAAGCTTTTCCCCACCTAAACAGTGTCCACAGATACAACTTCTTGGGTGTTCAAAATTTTATAAGCCAGTTAAGTATGCTCTAATCACATTTGGAATGGGCGAAAGGTATGGTTTCCTTTTGAAAACAAGAAAGGTGATTGTGAACTCAATTGAACACAGATCGTGAACATTTCCAGGCAGTTTTAGAAAAGGGTATGGGCCTATTATCTAACAAGGGCATTCTGCCGCTTGTCAAGTCTGTCTCTCCTAATGGCATATGCAAAAGTGGGAAATGAAATCCAGATACATTTGTGGACCCACTGGATACACCAGGCAACAGAGTCAGGCCAGAAACCTGTTTATTACCCAGCTCTGCTATGTCCCCACTGTGACTGCTGGATTTCAAGGCAACTTGACTCCCTCAGGATTTGTGTCGGCTCAGAGTCAGGAGTCAGTCATCACAAATAGCCTACATCCTTTTCTGAAAGGCACAGTTTCTCTACCTGATGACTTCAGCTCCCTTTGAGAAAGGATAGAAGGAGGATTAACAGTATACATTCATGACAGCATAGCAGGTTGTTTTCCCGAGAGAACCCACTATCCTTCCATCCTGCAGAGGGTGTCTCCAAGGTGGTGATGCTTCCCTCACCAAAATACTCCTTCATGCTTCTTTGGAAAGAATGTCCTGTGAGCTCTCCTAGGACACACAATGAGGAGGTGGGTGAGTCACTCACACATTATAAATCTACTCCAACATTCCTGTTTCCCTAAGCCTTTAGATTTATCCTTCTACATTATAACAAGGAAATACGACATCTCAGCTTCCTTTGATGTAGACTAACACAGAGTCCCGGTTTCGTGAGCAAATCATGAGAGCACTTCCCAGTTGCTTAAGCTAACATATGGAATTCAGAATCTCTCATGAGGACAACCATATTGATATATTTGGCCCTTCCAAAATTATTTTCCTTCCACCATGGACAAATACACTTATATTCCATTTCTACTCATGTATCTTAATTTCTGCTGATACAAGCTAACCACATTTTGCAATTATTTCAGAGTATAAACTGATCCCTCTCATGTCAGACTTAGTACTCATTTCCCTTGGTTAGGTTGGACCAGAATGTACTATGGGTCTGGAGGCTGCGTGGATCTTTTGAATATAAGCATCCCTTGCAACGTAAGGTTGTTACAGTATCCTCAAGCTAGAAGAAGCTAGCTTCCTCAGAGAGGGGTTGAGGAGAAGTATTTGCTGGTGAGGAAGTCTTAAAGGAATTTATGGGGAGGTTCAGATACTCAGATTCATCTGAATCCACCCAAATTTCTTCATTCCAATTCTCAGGGAATCATTCCTTTTCTATTAATGATCTAACACTCACATAAGAAATTGATAAGGGTGAGAAATCAAATTGATTCATAAAATAAAGATATTATTTTATGGTAATCATAGAATTCCCTTTCTTAGCTGCTCTTAACTGTACTGGAGGTGTTTATTTGTATTCTACCAATTCTCTAATGTAATCAAAATAGGTAGCATACTCCATAGTGCCAATAGCGATATTCCCACCATGAGTCTTTTGAAGAAGCCACTTGGTTTCCCAAAGTTTTCTATTTGACAGGCACATAATTCCAGGGACCATTTGGGGCTTAAGACTTACCAAAAAAAAAGTCCTCATTGTGGATACTATTGTAGGTTTTAGTGGATAATGAAAGTATTTTAAGTAAATGCCAGTGTTCAATTCATCATCTCTACCCAGAAGTGACATATCTCAGTATGTTGAGTTTTGTAGGCAATTTATCTTTTGGCTTAGATACTCTGCTTACAATCAGAATTTTACCACCAGGAAGTGAGGCTTTGGCTTTGAAGAGGCACAATGTAAAGTGTTTGACTAAGTGTGAATATCAGAGAAAGCCCAAATTTCTTGTATACTGATTATAATGCATTAATTAAAATGTGCTGTCATTTAAAAAGCAAAGTCACAGTTGCTGAGCAGAAAATGGGAGGTTAAGCAATACAATTTGTGTCTTTATTACCATCCTCAAGGATCATCAAAGACTTCCTTATGATGTTCTTGAAGGCTCTGAGCTTGCTGACTGTGTACCCTTTGTCTTACTCTACCAGGTTCATTCTTTTTCTGACCAATTTAAGGCTTCAAAAGATTATAAACAGTGCATTTCAGGAGAAAAAAAGACATTACCATTACTTTGCATCCTTGGCATTTCTAGTTATCTCTGGAGTCATTCTGTGTTTCTATTTAGCAAGGGATGTATGTTCAGTTTCCTGCTTCTTGTACCCTTCTCTTGTATTCCATATCTGCTTTCTTTCCATTCCCTGATGAGAAAAAAAAGTCGTTGCATCCCTTGTTTCCAGCTGAAAAGTAGAAAAATATACAACTGTGCCTGTAGACTTGATTTCCTCTTGGTGATCTACTGCAATCAGGAGAGAATTCTTTTGGTAAACAAGTCTTCTAAGGAGGCCGCTCTTGATAACACATAATTCTCATCAATGTCCCTTTTACATAGATTACTGAAGAAAATATAACATGCAGTCTACTATCTCCAAATAGTTTTATGCTATCAACCAGGTTTCTCGCCAAAAGACAACACCAATTTACTCCCTTGGATTTTTTAAAGCAATTAAAAATAAAAGAGCATATAAACAAGTTTTAAAATTGCTTTATTACAAATGAAAAATATGCAAAGCATTGAGGTCAGATTATATAAAGGAAAAGATGGAACAGATTTGCTGTATATAAGCATTATTACTAGAGTATCCTCTGGAATTATAAGGAACAGTTTCTAAGGTCTCATGATCTAAAGTATGATGGTTCAATCAAAACTTATGTAATCTAGCCTTAGAGATGAAATCATAAAGCTTCCTGGGTATATTCATAAACACAGAGTCCTCAGAAACAAGATGTTGAAAATGAATCAAAAATAAATATCCCCATTAGTTAATTTTTCACTGCCACCTGCCAGACCTTCATTATCTCTTAGAATACCTTACAATGTGTGGTTTCAATGAGCTGAGAATTTCAATTTTTTCCTACATATTTTCTGGGTTTAATTAGCATTCAGTACAGTCCTTAACATGTTGAAGACTGGTATGGTAACGGGAAATATGCTAACTCCTTCCAAATCCAGGGACATAAAAGTGTCTTTAAACACATTTAAATAAAATTTAAATACTTTAAAAATTGCAACCCGAAGTGTGTGTTTTTAAGAGCCGTAAGTAATTTAAGAGGCTCACTGTGGCTTTGTCTTGGACAGATGCCTGAAAGAGAATACATCTAATGGTGAAACAGTGGATGATGAAATTATGTATGTACTTATAGTACTTACGTTTTTCACTAGCTGTTTATATAACTGCTTTTTCACTTTGGGATATTTTTCACGGTGTAGGTTGTGATTTTATCTGTTTGCTTTTCCCTTTTTGGGTACAATGGGTTATTTAGCATCATTTTCAAAAAATCAGTTGAGGTTGCTCATTTAAACAGCCTTTTCTAGTTGCAGTATTTGTTCAACTTGTTCTCTATAATAGCTCTTCCTGTAAAGCAAAGAAAGGAAATAATTTGGGGTTTGGGTATAGGAAAGGGAATCTTGTGATATGAATGGGTATGGAACAAACCAAGTGAAATTTAAATATATTAGATGGGTTTCCCCAGAGACTCTTGCTTGGCCTTTTTGTGGGGGGTGGGGGGTGGGGAAATGTATCAAAGAATTAATAATATTCAGTAATACTAATAGAGACCAAAATGTATTATAATCTTTCACTTTGAAAGTAAAAGTACTATCCCCAGTGCTTTATATACATTTATATACATAATTATATTTAATCCTCATGGATTAAACACTTATAAAATAAGTGTTACTGTTCTCTTTTTACAGATGAAGAAACTGGGGTACAGAGAGGCTAAAGAGATTTTTCATAATCACATGGTCAGAGTGTGGAAGATTCAAGAAAGTGGTTTATTTCTGTATGACTGAAAACCTTATGCAATTCATGATGCTCAGAGCAGTGAGCAGTAGAAATAAGATTTAGTGTAATATTTTGCAAGGGCTGAAGGTAGAGAAGGAAACAAAGGTGAAAATATTAACAGAAGCAATAACAATAAAAATAACCACTAGAATATTGCCATTTAGGACAGTTATGGGCCAAGAATCAAATAGGGACTTTACATAAAGTATATTTATCTTCCTAACCATCCTAAGGAATGGTATTATTATGCCATTCTAAGACCTCACAATTAAAGTCAGGAAAATTAGGTATCTCTATTAAAGTCATACAACTAGTACGTTTCAAATACAGGAGTCCAGCTGTGCTCCAAAATCTATACTTAATCTTCTGCCCCATTGTCAGCTATACTTCTGTACTTGTGATTTTTATCTTAGAAAATTATCCTCATGGAATATTTTTTTTAAATCCTCATTTAACATGACATTTATATAACACAATCATTGGAGGTATCATTATACCTACAGACCTATTTATTTCATTCTTTGCAGTTAAAAAAAAAAAAAAGGCTTTTTGAAAATAGTGAAGAAAGGCTGGCCACAGGTGTGGAAACCTTCCATATAAGCCAAAAATCTCTTAATAGGATACTCATTGGACAAGGACAGAAACTATTATATTACCTGACCAAAATTCTGGGACTTCTGGTAATGCTACCAGAAAATAGAACAAAAGAAATGTGAAGTTACCCTTAGGGGCCCCATCAGAAATCAGGATTCAATATGAAGAGTAGCATGAAGCCTAAACTATCTGATAGTCACCTAGAAATACTGGTGCTACAAAGGGTCAGAATCTGAATCAAGAAGAGTCAGACTGTTTTTCTAAAGCTTTCTTAGAGGTCTGAAGAAGAGAATCCTTGAACTGTAATGTTAAATGTTTGGATGAAAATTTCTTAGGTTGCATCTGTGAAGATTTTCATTTTGGTTCACAGAAAAAAAAGGTATGTATTTGTGTGTACACACACTGTATTAGCCTTCTCAGGATGCCATGACAAAATATTATAGACTATAGGGCTTAAACAACATAAATGTATTTCTCACATATCTGAAGGCCAGACATCCAAGGTCAGGGTGCAGAGTGGTTGGGTTCTGAAGAGGGCTTTCTTCCTGGCTTGTAGACGACCGCCTTCTTCCTAGTGTGTGCTCACAGGCTCAGATAGGGAAGGTGAGGTCTATGCTGACTCTTCTTATAAGGACACAAATCCCTTCAGGCTGGGGTCCTGACCTGGTGACCTTGTTTAATCCTAATCACTTCCCAAAGACCCCATCTCCAAATACCATCACATGGTGGGGTAGGAGTTTAACATATGTATTTTGGGTGGGCACAAACATTCAGTATACACACACACACATACATATACACATGTGTTGTTAGATAAAGCTTGATAGAGGTGTATATGTATATATATAAAACATATATATAATACATAATAATTATATATTGTCCTAGTTATATATGCAAAAATAGCTTTAGAATCAGATATAAAAATAGAAGTGATGTCACCTCCTTTTACTCTTTACTTATATATAGCACATGACTGTTTTCGAAACAGCTGGCAGAAGTGTTACTTTTTCTTCTTTGTGTGAAATCAGTCAGTTGTTCCTAATCAGCATTACAGACAGGCTGACAGCAGAAACACCCCAAACTGAACCTCTTGTGTCGCTTCAGGGGAGACAGAGCATACCAGACAGATTTGTCTTAAGCTTTGACATCTACTGGACACTGTTGCAGCAACCCTTTCTAAAATTAAGTCACAATGTACTTATTCAAAAAGGTATTACATAGTAATTTTGCTCCCAGCAAGCTTCTATGGAAATATTATTGATATGTAAAAATGTGTATCTCTGAGTATGTTCCCTCTATTGTTATTTACATTAGTGAAACATTTGAGGTGTCACATTGTAGGGAATGTTTAAACCATGGAGTAGCCATATTTCAAAAAAATGTTAGGGAGTCATAAAAGCAATAATTTTATTTAAACACACAAGAGAATAGAAATAGAAAAACATCAGAGGATGAGATCAGAAAAAGAAGCTAAACTGAACACAGGCATCTTACTTCCCCTCCCACCAGAAATTCAGTTTAATGTCAGGTTAATCTTAGAAAAGAATCTCATAACTTCACTGGCAACCAAGGGAAGATATCAGTGGAAAAAAATTTCTGAGAACTTCCTAAGAAGTAGAAATGAAATGAGATCAGAATCACAGAGAAGAAAAAAGGAAGAAAACCAAAATCCAAAACTCATTCAGGAAGAACACTTGGTGGATTAAGAGCCATTTCAGGGAAGCTCAAAGCTCAGATCTAGAGCAGGGACAGGAGGGAGGCATGTGGAAATGAAAAGGAGAAATGCCGTTGGACAATAAGCTATTGATTTATCCAACCTCGACATATTTGGACTGATCATGGGGCAATGCCAGTGTGTCCACACATGACCAAGGACAAAAGGACAAGCTGTGCTCTGAGATCCCTCAGGAGTCCGATAAGGAAGAGAAGCCATTAAGTCTGTATTAGTCCCTTCTCACACTGTTATAAAGATACTACCCGAGACTGGGTAATTTATAAAGAAAAGAGTTTTGTTTTTTTGTTTTATTTTGTTTTGTTTTGTTTTGAGACGGAGTCTCACTCTGTTGCCAGACTGGAGTGCAGTGGCATGATCTTCGCTCACTGCAACCTCTAACTCCCTGGTTCAAGCGATTTTCCTGCCTCAGCCTCCCAAGTACCTGGGATTACAGGTATGCACCACCACGCCCAGCTAATTTTTGTATTTTTAGTAGAGATAGGGTTTCACCATGTTGTCCAGGAGGTTCTCCATCTCCTGACCTCGTGATCTGCCCATCTCGGCCTCCCAAAATGCTAGGATTATAGTCATGAGCCACTGCACCCGGCCAGGAAAGAGTTTTGATTGACTCAGTTCCACATAGCTGAGGAGGTCTTAGGAAACTTACAATCATGGTGGAAAGCAAAAGGGAAGCAACGCATGTGTTACTTTGTGGTAGATGAGAGGGCATGAGTGAAAACTGCCACTTTTAAAACCATCAGGTCTTGTGAGAACTTCCTCACTATCATAAGAATAGAATGGGGGAAACCGCCCCCATGATCCAATCACCTCCCACCAGGTACCTCCCTTGACTCTAGGGGATTACAATTTGAGATGAGATTTGGGTGGGGACACAGAGCCAAACCATATCAAAGCCCAACACAGGCCTTTCACCCCCATCACCATATACAGGCTCTTGTAGTCAGAACCAACCTCTACTAAACCTGGTGAGGCAGATTCTCACACACACAACCTGGTATCCAAGAATCAAAAACGCAAACACATTAAAGAGAGGTAACAAATGGGCAACCAAGGAAGCTATGTTTTTACTGCAAACTAAATATTTCAAAATAAATTTAGCTAATATTCTTCTGAGATTTGTGTAAAATATGGGAATTTAAACATGTTTTCAAAACAACTCAGTTGAGTTGAATTGCTGAAAAGGAACAGCAATAAAACCAATAAATTAATGAACTAGAATATCAAATAAAACATTTTCCCATCATGTAGCATATTTTCTATAAATTAAACATAAAGTATAAAAGAAAGCTAAAGAGATACATAGAATGTATCCAGAAATTCCAATGAACCCTTCAGAAACAGAATATTTTGAAAAACAACACTTATACAGTTAAAAACATAAGAGAGGCTGGAAATAAGACTTTGAAAAAAGTTAAATCTATAGAAGATTATGCAAATATTTTAAAAGGACCAAACGAAGCTTTCAGGAATTTTACAAAAGTAAAATATAAACCCTCAATGGCTGGATTAAATAGCAGATAAATACATAGACCAAAAGAGTTAGTAAACTGAAGGTTATAACCCAAAAGAGTAAGCCTATAAAAGTCAAAGAAAACAAAGAGATAGAAATACAATCAAAAGAGGTTAAAGAACAGAAAAGTCAGGATGAAAAAAAATGAAAAGAATATCAGAGTTCCAGATGGAAATTTAAAAGAGAATGGGGACAAAACAATATTTAAAAAATAGCAGCTAATAATTTACCTAGAATTGTTGATGTTTACCAATCTTCAAATCCTAAAATCTCAACAAAACCCCAGAAGGGTTTTGTTTTTTTGTTTTTCTTTTGGGGGGTGGGGGTTTGTTTGTTTGTTTGTTTTCAGATGGGGGGATCTTGCTATCTTATCCAGGCTAGTCTTGAACTCCTGGGCTCAAGTGATCCTCCCGCCTCAGCCTCCCAAAATGCTGAGATTACAGGCACACCCATCCCCCAAGCAGGGTCTAAAGAAAAAAAAAAAAGAAAGAAAGAAGAAGAAGAAAAATGAAAAGAAGGCAATCCAAATACTTAACACCTAACCACATCAGTGAAGCTGCAGGGCACTGATGAAGAAAGGTTAAACAGCCACAGAGATAGAACACATCAACTACAATGAAGCAACATCAGACTAGCAAGGGACTACAAAGCAGCAACAGAGGATAGAAGACAGTGGAATAGTATCTTCCATGGAGGAAGAGAAAATAACTGTGAAACTTTATTTCTACATCCTCCAAAAGTATCTTTCAATTATGAAGGTGAAATAGGTAATTTCAAACAAAGACCGAAAGATATTTGCTACTAGCAAAACTTCAACTTCTGCAAAGGGATCATAAAAAAAATTTCAGGCACAAAGAAAATTATTTCAAATGGAAAGTCTAAGATGCAAAAAGAAAAATCAACAAAGGTGTTAGAAAATTTGTAGAGAAATCAAAATGCACATTGACTCTGTCAAACAATAAAAATTTAGAAAAAGAGAAACAGGAGAGATCTAAAATACTGGACCACAATAGCATATGAATTGAAGAGAATTGATTGTAGACAAAGCTTTCTAAGGCCTTTTTGTACTAGTTGGGAGTGAAGTAAGGATACTGTTGATAAAACTTAGACTTTGTTAAAAATTGTACAAAATTATAGTCTCTAACTTCCAAATACATAAAAAGAAATGAAACAAGAATATTTGTACAATCAATATGAAAGTAAAAAAAAGGTGAAACTATTACACAAACAGGGTGACTAGAATTAACAATAATGTATTTTATATTTCAAAAAAGCTTGAACAGAAGATTTTGAATGATCTCCCTACAAATTATAAGAGGTGATGAATTTCCTAGTTACATTGATTTCATCATCATACAATACATACTTGTATTGAAACATCACATTGTACCTCATAAGTGTGTGCAATCATTGTGTGTCAATTAAAAATAGAATAAAACTTAAAAAACAAAAGGAACAAGAAAAGCCAGACAAATAATGAAAAACAGGCTAGGTGCAGTGGCTAATACCAGTAATCCCAGCACTTTGGGAGGCTGAGGCACGAGAATCACTCGAACACTGGAGGGAGGTTGCAGTGAGCCAGGATTGCACCACTGCACCCCTCAGCCTGAGCGTAACAGTGAGACTCCATCTCAAAAAAAAAAAAAAAAAAAGGAAAAGAGAATGAGAATGAAAAGATATTCAATCAGAAGAGAATTCAAGGAAGGAAGAACAAAAAAAAAAGGAAAAATCAGGAAAATAAGAAACATTTAATAAATTATAGAAGTCAAATAAAATGAAATGGATTAAAAGTCCTAGGTAAAAGACATCCTCTGATAAGATTTAAAAATAACTAATTGATATTTCCAAATATACACTGTTGGATTTGAATTACCAATATTTTTTAATTTGGGGTTTTTTAATTGCATGCTCCTGAATGGTATCACTGAACTGTAATTTTCGTTTTTCAAACTCTAGCTACCTGATTTTGCTAACAAAATTATATTAGATTTGTAAAATGTAGTTCTTTTTTTTCCACTCTAGAGAGTTTGCATATTATTGGAATAATACCTTCCTTAAATGCTTGATAGAAAATGCCTAAAAAGTCATATGGGCCTGAAATATTTATTGAGTTGTTTCCTTTGGGGGAGGGTAATATTTAACTATTAATTAAATCTCTTTAACCTTGATACATCTGTTCAGGTTTTTTACTTCTTTTTCAATATGCTTCAGTCAATTATATTTTCTTGGAAATTACCATTTTTTTTCTATTTTCAAACGTTGTCATATGGGTTTTATAAATTTTCTCTTGTAACATTTAAAACTTCCACCCCAGCTATAATTAATCCTCCTTTACATTTCTAATATTCTTTATCTGTGCTGTCTTTTGATCTTTGATTTGTCATGTGAGAGATTTATCTACTTTATTAGTCTTTGCGGGGATCAGCTTCCTCCTTGTTGATCCTTTCTATATCTTTATTTTCAGTGTAATTAATTTTAGCTTATATCGTTATAATTCTCTCTCCTCAACTTTTATTGGCTTTACCTTAATCTTTTACCAAGGCAGGGGATTCTTAGTAAGTGTAGGGGAACAGGCAGGTGGGAACTCTGCCATTCTGCTACTTACTTGCTGCAGAGAAAGTTGTGTGCTTCTTCCAGAACTTGGTGATCTTGTGGTGTATGCAGAAGCAGTTGACATCCTTTTTTTCTCTGTCATCAAATTTAGAGAAAACAAAACCAAAAAATAATATAAATTTCTCTGGGATGAAAAGCTGCCAGTTTAAAACACTAGTTCAGAAAGCCAATTAGAATGTGTGTAAATTTTAAAATCCCAGTATGAGCTCATTTACAGAAATGATCAACCTCTAAGCACCTGGACTAAACTTTAATATTGCTTAAAGATGAAAAATGTTCTTTTAGTACTCATTTCAAAATTATATGTTTTATAAAGTATGCATTCAAAGAATTTCTTTGACAACTTTTTTTACTAAGATGGTATAGGGTTATATTAATTCCACAAAAGAGGTCCATAGTTATATCAATATAAAGGGAATAGTCTGTTTCCATTCGTAAAAGAAAAATAAATGTTTGGTTGGTGTGATGTTTTTGCAAAGATTCCTTGAAAGACATTTTGTTAAAACACCATACAAATTAAATTCTTAAATTAACACTGATACCCCTTCCTTAAGGGAAGCATATTTAAAATTAAATTTGTGTGCGATTACCTCAAACATAGCCTTATTAACAGCCACCTAGATGTCTGTGGGTTTTCATGCATTAAATTTTTGTTCCAGATTATTCACGGTTTGTTAATTGGTGTGATAGTTGATGAATATTGATGGTGCGTGTTGTGGAAATAATTTCCATATGAAAGGGGTAAGAGCATTTCCTGCCCAGGCAAAACTCCGAAAATAAAAATAAAAAAATGTTGAAAGCCTGAATTTAGACTATGAGCTAACCCTCTTATTTATCTCTTATTTATCTAATCTATCTTAAGGATTCTCTACAACCAGTCGTCCCAAATGTATGTATTCCAGTTTATAGCGGAACACTTTAATGATGTCCAAAACAAATTAGGAATTTAATTTATGCATTAGGGCCCTGTTTAAAAGTCTAATGTGGAGGTTAAATGTTTGTTTTATTTAAATGAGATGTTCCGGCTTTTGAAAAATCTACTAGATTTAACTAAACTACCATGTTCTCAGATGTTTATTTTTCTTATTTTACAACAGATACGCAGACTCAGCCAACGTGTTTGTAGGGGGAAAACCGTCATCAACTCACAGGATCTTTGTTAGCAGGATACAATTATTATTTATCAAGTTGATTAAGCCACAGATTACTTTTTTATACTAAGTAGTTTTTAAAATGTGATGAAATTGGAATCTGTTTAATGTCTTTATTATCACAGAGTCACACACTAAATGTTCAATAAATACTTGTTTTGAATTGCTCTCTTTACTTTTCTTAAAAAAACACTTGGACACTGGTAGATGCTACTCAGATGTGATCTCATTCCATCTTCATCAACACCACTAGAAAATCATTATAAACCTAACATTCTGTGTGATGAAACTCAGACTTGAAAAATTAAGTTGTTCATTTTTTACTTCCAGGATTGTCTTATTTAGGGAGCCATGACCTTCTTGGAATTACAAGTGGAACACAGAAATTGAGATATTTTACAAGTATTTCAGCTATTTTATCTTTTGGACTTGCAAAAACAAGGAAGGAGATTATTGTATGACACAGGCTCAACATCTTCTTTCCTTGAAATTGGATCAGACTTTCTGAGGTCTCCTCTTTATTAATAGTATACTGCTTATAATCGCTTGTTAATTGTATACCCTCAATTACTCCATCATACTCATGGAAGAGGGGATTAAGAGCCAATGGAAAAAGGAATTGGAGGGAAAGGAATGTGCATTGCAGCCACGTCCCTAGATCTTGCATACATTTTGGCAGTAAGACCCCCTATTGCATAGCTGTGCTTGATTTATGGTCAATTTGCATTGTTTATCTTTGCTTTTTTTTTTACTACAAAGATTCCCATCAGTTCACATGCCTTTTCATTTTTTAATCATATTCTAGTTCCTTCCCATTTAATGCTCTATATACTTTTTCCTTTAACCACTAAAAATTAATCAACCCCCATAAATTAGACCCAACACAGCTACTAAGTAGTTGCTCCAGGACTCAATTTTCAAGTTTAATTCCCTTCTCAAGGCAGAGGTTCTCTGGAGATATTAGTCCTTTGGAGTCTAACCATATGCATCATTCTTGATGAAAATATAACTTAATCTTGTTTTAAAAAATAGACTATTAGCAAGAGGACTAGTGCATTTCCACATATTCTGAAACCATATGGGTTTGCAATAATTTAGGCACCCTAGACAATTTCTGAATTCCAGACGTATACTTTCTTGTCCCCACTGTGTGGCAGCAGGTCAGTACCTCCTAAAATCCAACCTTTTCCCAGCCTCGCCTGTCTGTGCCCAATGAGCTCATGAACAAAGTGGTGTTGGTGGCAGGGAAGCCCAGCAAACAGACTGTGACACATCAAAAGTGTTATGGGGCTGGGCGTGGTGGCTCACGCCTGTAATCCCAGCAATTTGGGAGGCCGAGGCAGGTGGATCACCTGAGGTCAGGAGTTTGAGACCAGCCTAGCCAACATGGTGAAACCTCATCTCTACTAAAAATACAAAAATTACCCCAGCATGATGGTGGGCACCTGTAATCCCAGCTACTCAGGAGGCTGAGGCAGTAGAATTGCTTGAACCCAGGAGGCAGAGGTTGCATTTGCATTGAGCTGAGATCACACCATTGCATTCCAGCCTGGGCAACAAGAGCAAAACTCCATTTCAAAAAAAAAAAAAAAAGTGAAATGGATACTCTTCTGAGTGTCTATAACTTGCCAACTACGAGGACTAAAAGTCAACCTCCAATACGGTGCCATGCCCTGAGGTCACCAGCCAGCCACCTCAGGCAGAATGATTATTCTGCACTACTTCCATCATGAAAGCAAAATTCTTTACTCTCACTAGTGTAGTCATTTATTCTAGTTATGGATTTGCCTCACCTGCTAGACTTTTTTTTTTTTTTTCCAAAATCACCATCTGTGGATTTTGGATTTACAGAATGCCTTAATCATTGTCACAGAATTTTTGGCTTCTGACAAGGTAACTCTGTGACTACCTGACAAACCACTTCAGAACTTAGTGGCTTAACAAAACAGTCATTTTATTATCTTTCATGATTGTGTGGTTGACTGCTCCAGTGGGTAATACTTCTGTTCAGTGTAATGTCAGTTAGTACTTTGGTCACTGGGCATCTCAACAAGGCTGGAATATCTAAGATGTGTACCGCTTACAGGTGGTAGATATCTTGAAAGCTGTGGTCAGTTGTCAGGCTGGGCTTTTCTGTCCAAGTAGGATCAAATTATTCCTCGTCATCTGGCCTTTCCATGCAGTCTCTCCAGAAAGGTGGCCAGATTGCTTAGATGACAGATCAAAACAAAAAGAAAAAGGTTACCAGGTTTTCTTAGGGTTTAGATACAGAACTACTTCAGTTTGTTTAAAGTAATTACATGGCCAGCACAGTTGTAGGAAAATGGAAAATAAACTGCCTCTAAAAGGGATTAAAAAGAAAGAAACAAAAACAAAAAAGTGACATCTTTAATCTACCACAGGGAGAAAGGGATTCAAGGTAGAATAAACAACATTTAGGAAAAAAAGACAGACATAGTGTTTATGAGGAGAGATGCAGGGAGTGGACAGAAAAGAATCGTATGAGTTGAGGTTTAGCCCAGAAAAATACATGGTTTTGCAAGCCTCACTTAGGTAGTGGGACTTTATTATAAATTATATGGAAGGAGGCCATCCAATGATTTTAGATTGTGAGATTAAATGAATAGATTTTTCACTTTTGACAGGTCATGCTGGTTAGAATAGAAAATGGTTTGGCAGGGAGCAGAAGTGAGGCGGAAAGATCATGAGTATACTGCTGTAATACTGTGGGAGAGAGGCGGTGGTTACTTGGAATCAGGTGGGGACATGGCAACGGAGGAAATCATTCTGCTTCCAAAGATATTTAAGAGATAGAATCAACAGAGCATTATGTTTGATTAAATGTGGGTATACCAACCTCTGGCTTAAATCACTAGGTGGACGATAATGTCAGTTATCAAGACAGAAAACCTGCAGAAGTAGGTTTAGAGGGGAGTAATTATTACTTCTATTTTGGGTGTATTGAGTTTTAGTTCCTCTGAGATATTTAGATGAAAATGTTAAGCAGACAGTAGGCTATTTGGGTGTGGAGCCCAAAAGAGATCTCCGGGGATACAGAGTTGGTAAAATCGAGCACTGATGATAATGACACAAAAGGTTATGGATGAGGATATCTCCCACAGGGAGAATGCAGAGTAAAAAGGAAAAAAAAAATCATTTACTATCTAACCCCTGGGAGCCTAATCATTTAGAGGTTTAGTGGGAGAGGAACTTCATAGATGTTTAAAGAGCAAAAGCCACGGAGATCAAGGAAAGCTCCAAGGGTATGTGATGCCCTAAATATGAAGGAAGAAAGTGGTGTAAGAATATGAGTCTTAGAAAACCCAAGAAAACCCAAAGAAAGGTTTTTGGGGAAAGGGTTAGGTTATGAGAGAAGGAGTACAGACAATTATCAGCTGAGAGTTGGATAAATAACTGCTACTAGCAGTGCCAAGAACTTTAAACGTGACATTGTATCTTACATATGTACCAACAAGTTTACCTCCAACAGTTTCATGGATGCCAGCAGAAGATATGAAACTCTTAGGCAAAGTTGGACACCATGATTATCCCCACAGTTGCATCATTCCCCAAGCCCCAATTCCCACAGGTCAATGAGATAAGGGCTGGGTGACACCACCACCATAGTGAATTTCGTTAGAGCAAAGGAGTCCTGAGTTTGGATTACCCGAATTTCAGTGGACAGTAAGCATGTTTGTTCTTTGCTCTGAAGTGAGAGGCTATCTCTGTCTTCCAAGATTAGTCACTAAACAACCATCTTTGAAAGGACAGTCTGCAACAAAAAGCTCTGCTCACAAGACATTCAGACACACGAAAGACGGTCGAGAATTGTCTCCCAATACAAGACATTCAGAAACACGAAAGATGGTCGAGAATTGTCTCCCAATACAAGACATTCAGAAACACAAAAGATGGCTGAGAATTTTTTCCCAATAAAGGAAGCCCAAGAAATGGATCACTGGCAGAGTAAAACAGGCTTACAGATCATTTCATCTTGATAGTATGCTAAAGGTTTGTGGATATTTGGGATTAATAGAATTCAGATGTCCAGAATATCTAATAGAAGTTCCCCCAATTAGAATGTTCACTCAAGTAATTTAGTTTCTGTTTGTTCACAGGGATTGTCAGCTGTAGTGAATATATCAATGACTGCTTTCTGGAAATGAATACATGTTGGGTTGTATAATGTGGTGCTAGTGGTTAAGAGCACACATTTTGGTGGAAGACTGCCTGTAATCAATGAATGGATTTTACTGCATCTAAATTAAGGGTTTATATTTAATAAAGGTTACCAAATAGGTGATCAACTGGTTGAAAATGTTTCCAATATCTGCAGTGAAGAGGGGGTTAATATAACTTCTCATAGCAGCAGGAAAAGGTAGGCTAACCAGTAGACACACAGGAAAAGTTATGATAATACAAGTTACAGAAGGAGAAATCTAATGGCTTAGAAATATTAAAAGAGAAGTGCTACTGAAGTAATGATCAACAACATTCAACTGAAAACAATGAATTATCACTTTAAGCCCATTAGATTGATAAAAATTTGAAAATCAGAATATAAAAATGGTGCAGACGTGGAGAAACCAGAACCACAAGCAGTGTTGATGGGATAAAAAGGATGCAGACTCCTAGAAAGACTGGCGCTTAGGTAAATTAAATACATTTGTGTTTATGATACTGTTTAGCGCTCCATCTCCTTGAATAGGGAGCAGAACAAATCTCTCACAATTTCATAAAGAACTGTGTATGAACAAGACTATTCTTAGGGTATGTGGGACTCCAGCAAATATTTTTGGCAGAATTCTGATCTGTGTATTCAATCCGATCAGAAAATATATTTAAAACATCAGGTGTCTAAATGAGGACAGTGGCTTATTATTGACGGTTTGGAATGATGAGTACAGAAGAAGTTCTCAGATATTCCCTTTTTGTCTAATTAGTGCATGTGAACATTCGTCATACTGTCTAGGTACCATCTCTTCTAGTTCAGATCCAATAATTATCTCTTCGTGTTCATGATTGTCAAACATGCTATTTCAGTCTATTTCACATCTTCTGCTATGAGAAAAAGGAAATGATTGATATTATTTATAATTCCATGACTCTTTGGGGTCTATTTTATTGAAATAATATAGATCTTGCCTGTGCGGTTACAAAATTTCAATTATTTAATGCTGGTTACATCATGACTCAGAACACTATGTCATTAGTTTTGCATTCATTCCTCCAAGAATACTGGTATCCAATGGCTATATCAAAGGTTTTACTCTACTGGATTGATAATGTCCACAAATTCAAGTCTTATATTATGCAGGACAACATGAATGATAATTAGTTCTCTTTTCATGTTAAAGTTAAGTTGTTGAACAAAAGCATGGAATGACACATCATTCCTTCTCCTGATCTTTTTGAGTCAAATCACTGTGTTCCTAGGATGTTATTTCTTTCGATGTTGACTACACCTCTGTCTTCCACACACTGCCCACGGTGGAAGGAGGCCAGGGGCCCATGGGCTGAGTGAGAAGACCAGTACCATTTTCTCAAGGCATGTCTGTCCTTCATCAGTCACTGCTTAAGACCAGACACACAGAGCAGGATGTCAACCTATTGATTGTAGGCAAGAGGCAAGAGAAAAGGCCTGTTAGAATTCTGGATCAATACTTTATAAAGGTCTCAAATGCCCTTGGAGGAGATTGGCATTGCCAACCATGGAGCACTACCTGATATGCAGAGCCCACGGCGGGTGGAGAGACCGTTCTGGGTGCCAGCAGTGGGGAGAGGCACCTGGGTTCACATGCCCCAGGAAGAATGAGTACAGGAGCTCTTCAGGACAACTGGTCAACCTCACAGGCAAAATGGAGAGTCAGAAAGAGCCTCAAAAGGAAGAAAGGGGAACTGGGATCCACGTAGGTTATGATCCAGTCTCAGGTCACCAACCTTGATACACTGCTGACCTGGTTGGTCCCAGGCACCATAGGAGGACTTAGGAAGTTCTGGAGTCTGGATGTCAGGACAGGAACACCTGGACCTGTATCTAAGGGCATTACTGTGTGGGAGGGCACGCACCACAGTTATGGGTTCACAGGGCTACAAGCAGTCTAAGGAAACTTTGTAAGCAAAATGTGGTAGATGCAAACAACGAAATATAAAGTGGTCCAAATAGTAACAGATACACATTCAGTAGTAGCCTAGTGTATCAGACACCCATTGACTATTACTCCCAGTTTTTTTTTTTTTTTTGATCCATCCCTAGAAAAACTTTAGTCACTGCCATGGCAACCACTTTCACACACACATCAAAGAAATGTTCCCAGGTGCTACTGGACAGTTCCTAATCTTGGCCCATACAAACAAAACAAAACAAGAACTGTTTCCTCCCTGGGGCTTCTCGAAGCTCTGGTAGGAAGTGTCTACAGAAAAACTCCCAGCATGATGCAGGTGCATCCCCAAAGTACTGAGAGATCAGTGCCTGAAGGACCCCACTTGGCCAAAGGAGAACAAAAGCCCATAGAAAAATAAACACTTCCATTTTGATCCCATGGGCAGAAGATTCTGAGATGCATTTCGTACAGCTTCTAAGAAAGTCTGGAGGACTCAAAGGCCCGTCACAGGTAGATGTGGAGGTAACAGGCTCACGGACCAGCCTTGCCTCTTCCTTTGCTTATCTTTCTGTTCCTCCCACCAGCGCCCTGGGATCATTCCCAGATACACATCTGCATAGAAGCCTTTGTCTCAGGCTCTCTTTCAGGACAACCCGGGCTACGACACAAGACACATGGGCCTTTGTGTTGTTTGTTTATTTAAAAAAATTTTTTGACTGAAAAAAAATTATAAAAAAGGGTGAGCTCTATAGTGCATTCCTACTTAAATGAATGCAAAGCACACCAAAAAAAAAAACCTCACATATTTTGAAGGATTGTTTTTAAGCCACATATATATTTAAAGCATTACAGTCAATACATTTGAAGGGTAGGAAAATAAAAGGAATTTGGAAATAAAGAGGAAGGAAACGAAATAATGCTGATAACAAGCTGAGATCTGAAAAATTATTTACTCAACTCAGTGTCCCTGATGTCCAATATTTTATGGAAAAAGAGAGAGAAGCAGAGAGAAAAAAGAAAGAAGCAAAGGATATGTCTCAAACAAAAGACAATATCTTATGCCATGAAATATTCTTTAACTTTTTAATGATTTTGAGGAAAAATACACACTTAAGAAAAAAGAGGAGGGGTATATGACTTTCCGAAGGACAATTACAGCTATGCCTCTCCAGCATCCTTCCCTATTTATGGAAGTACCAGATTCTTGTTTGCTGAAGTATCTTGTTAGTCACGGGTTTACACTCTGGATGCAGCACGGAATATTTGGAAATTTAGAAGAGGGATATTGCTGCCCTCCGAAGCCCAAACCATCGATGTCATTTCATTCTATTTATTTCACCTGCTTATGTATTGTTGTGTCTGACTTGCTTGCTGGAAATATTGCTTATTGTGGTTGAGGGAGTAGAACAAGGAAAAGAGACGTCCTGTTCCAAAATTAGCAATGCTGCCTGGCTTCTTCATATATAAGCATTATACATTTTTACCCAGCCTCTCTGGGTATTTCCAGAGCTACTATAATTACTTTGCCAGCATTTTTCACATTTGCATCTTTCCTGCTTGTTTTTTTCTTAATGTGTTAAATGTTATCAGAAAGGAATCTGGAAGAAAAAGGGCAAAAGACAAATAAATGTGGCCTGTGTTTCCCGATGCACTGGTGAGACGTCCAGCTTCAGTTTGATCTTTGGTTAAATTTCCTAACAGGGAAAGGCATGTTTGATGGCTGCTTTGGCCAAGACACTGTTTCAGAGAAAACAAGGGAAACTTTGGGTTGACAGGGATAATAGAACTTCCTATTCCCATATAAGTGGCTTAAGAGACAACATAGAAAGAATGTGTATAATTTACAACAGCTGGATTGTCTCCCTGTAATTTATCCTTGCCCCAACAAATTAAAGCCTTTTCTATCATCCAAATGAAGGCAAGGAGCCACATGTGTGAGCAGCATGAATGCCTGCGCCGGGAGCTGAGAGCTGGAAACCCTGTGGGACTCTTCCCAAGACAGCTCGCCCCTGGCCATGGGGCTGCCGTCAGGACCACAGAGCCTCTTCTGGGTGATGCTTTGTTCCAATCACTCATGTCTCTTGTCCCTAAAATTCAAGTCTCATCGCTAAAAATGTATAAGTTTAGAAAGATTTTTTCAGCGCTTTTCAAATTTGGAATTTCCCTGCTAACAGGCAGGTGACATAAAATTTCAGTAAGCTCACTTCAAGTATCTTAGGGTTTCCTCATAACTTTCTCCCCCAGGGGAGCACCAGGCACCTGAGACAATTATGGGATGACAGAAAAAAAACAAGAGTTTGTAAGAAAACATACTGCCATAAATCCCACCTTTGCTGCTTATGAGTTGTACAGGAGAGACAAATTTTCAAAACCCTATGTGGGTCTCCACATCTACAAAAATGGAGGTCACATGTCTCTGTCCCTTACACTTAGGAGAGTGCCGGGCACACAGTAGGGTTTTCCATTGTTATTTCTCTTTCTTATTTGCTACTGTTCTTCCTGCCTTAACACCTAGGAGTTGAAGCTTTCATTCCTATTGACAGAAGACATATCTAAACTACTCATAATTCAGTTCCTTATGTTCTCCTCCCTCTTAATCTTTTTAAATTAACTCTTTATTCATTACTTTTGGGGATGGGAGCATGGAATCTTTCACCACTACAAGAGAATGAGTACCCGACGTTAAAACATTTTTAAATAGTCTATGCCTTTTTAAAACTATGAAAGGGATGCTATAATAATTATAAAAATTATTTCATCATATACACAATGAAATAACTGTATTTGTCTTTCTTTTCTGCCAAATTTAATCTGCTGTAAAATTATTTCACCATGTACACATTGAAATAATTGTATTTTTTTTCTTTTCTGCCAAATTTAATCTACGATAAGCCTCTACTTCCCTGGTTGAGAAAAAAATTCAGTCTCCATCACTGTCAAGTCACCTCCATCTCTTCCATAGTGTAATGCAAGAATACTGGGCTTCTATGAGCAGGGCAGGGTTGGAGTCCTATATTCTCATTATTGCTGCATGAGGCATGGGACCCCACTGTCTGGCAGGCATTGGTACTCTGAGTAAGAGTCGCAGAAGCTCCCCTTTCTTCTCTTAAGGTCTCAGAGTTTCCTCCATGCCTGAAGCCCTGCAGCACCCGGGCACTCATAATCCCTGCTGCAATTAGTATTAACTACGTCTTGGCATGGTGAGATGCTTTCCAAATTCTCGCTTCCTAGGCTTGGCTTGCATTTACCTCTTACATGAGTTGATAACAACGATTTGAGGCCAAGACCTCATAACTCAAAAAACTAAACACAGCTACATTTTGGGGGTTGGGAGAGGAAAAATAACTTCATCTCCTCCAAGTACTTCTAAGCTCTTAAGCAAGGAGATGATACATAAATTAATCTCTCAACATGTTAGCTGATACTTTTCTCATCACTTCTTTTTCTTTGACTTTTTAAAAATTAATTATGCATACATAATAATTATATATGCTTATGGGGTACATGAGTACATGTAATATTTTGATACAGGCATACAATATATAATGATCAAATCAGGGAAATTGGAGTAGCCATCATCTCAAGCATTTATCAGTTCTTTGTATTAGGAACATTTCAATTCCATTCTTTTTGTTATTTTAAAATATACTATAAATTATTGTTAACTATAGTCACCCTATTGTGCTACTGAATATTAGCTCTTATTCATTCTATCCAACTGTATTTTGTACCCATTAGCCGTCCCCCACTTTATTCCACACTCTCTATTACCCTTACTCTGACAACCATCATTCCACTCTCTCTGTGAGTTCAGTTTGTTTAATTTTTAGCTTCCACATATCCCGCACATAGAGAGTGGTAATCTACCTATATGTGAATAGATTTTAATATGTTACCTCTTTGATATTTTTATCAAACTTCCTTGTAGTATTCTTTTTCTAAGGATATTAAAGTTGAGGAAATTAAAGTTTAGAAAGATTTAGTGATTTATTCAAGTTCACTAAGCTAGTAAATGATGGAGCAAGAATTTAAACTCAGGATTGTCTAATCAAAAAAATGGCATTCTTTCAATTACATCATGCTATACTCTAATCATAGAATTATGATGACCACTGTACTAGTCAGTGTTTTCCAGAGAAACTTAACCAATAGGATATATATACACTGAATAATATATTAGACATATATAATTACATATATATTATACATATATTTTATATTTAGTTAATATATATCTAATATACATATATTAGATATATAATGAATATATGTGATGTAATGAATATATAATGAAATTCATTACAAATAATTGGCTTAAGGATTACGGTAGGTGAAATGTCCCATGATCTACCATCAGTAAGCATTAAGAACCAGGAAAATCCATGCTGTAAATTCTAGTTTGAGTCCAATGAGACAAGAATAATACAGGATGGTTACAGGAGGATAGAACACTCCAGACAGCAGTTTCACATACTCGCAAAAAGGAAACTATTGAAATAGCTCCATAAGTTAGGGGCCAATAAGATCCTCACAACCAGAGTGTGGGCCAAGCCGACTAAGACAAACTGGACTCAACATGACACTGGATTTGGCCTAGGTTTCACCTAGGATTTCATTCTATACTCATTAACATACTAAAGCACACACCCATCAGTGACATGATAGTTCCAGGATAATATGGTTTGGCTGTGTCCCCACCCAAATCTCATCTTGAATTGTAGTTCCCATAATCCCCGCTTGTCATGGGAGGGACCTGGTGGGAGGTAATTTAATCACAGGGGCAGTTACCTTCATGCGGTTCTCATAATAGTGAGTGAGCTCTCATGAGATCTGATGGTTTTATAAGGGGCTTTTCTCTCTTTTGCTCAGCACTTCTCCTTGCTGCCACCATGTAAAGAAGGACGTATTTGCTTCCCCCTCTGCCATGATTGTAAGTTTCCTGAGGCCTCCCTAGACATGCTGAACTGTGAGTCAACTAAACTTCTTTCCTTTATAAAGCACTCAGTCTCAGGTATGTTTTTATTAGCAGTGTGAGAATAGACTAACACTTATATTTTGTGTAAAAATAGGTGACACCACAGCTATGAGAAATTTTTATCTTTTTCCAGGAATCTTCATGAATATTCCACCCCCTGGTTAAAGAAACCCCTAGAGGTAGAAGCCCCAGACTTCATCGTGTGACTCATTCTCCTGAATATAAAAAAAAGTGTTTAAAAAAAGTGTATAGTTTTTGCTTTGCAATAAATCTCCATACTTTGCCCATTTTCTGACTCATTCTTGATTTCCTTATTTCCTTACTGTAATGGTGTCAAGAACCTGGGCAGCGGCTGGGATTAAGATCCTACTGGCATCTGGGGGCCTCTCCTAGCCTATCAGTATCACAGAGGCCTGAGAACCAAGAGTGCCAATAGTATGATTCTGAGTCCAAGAGTATTAGACTGATGTTTCAGCTCAAGCAGTTAGGTAGAGAGAGAATTCAATCTTCCTCTGCCTTTTTCATTTTTGTCCTATTCAGGCCCTCAGTGGGTTGGATGAGGCCCACATACATTTGGCAGGACCATCTGCTTTACTCAATCCACCAATTCCAATGCTAATCCCATCTAGAAACATTCTTGGGGCATACCCAGAAACCGTGTTGAACCAGGTGTCTGGGCATCCTGTGGCCCAGTCAAGTTGATGCAGGCAATTCACCACCACACCTGTCATCCTTTCAATGTGACATCTGATGCAGGTGTATCTGTGGAAGAAAGTCTCAGGTCACTTCAAGTGTCATTCTTTCAGATTCCTTTTGACTTAAATTCACAGTTAGAAGCTTGGAAATACATCCTCACAGGTTTATACAGGCTTTGTTTAAAGCAATCTGACCGTAATCTATTAGATGGCAGTATAATCAAAAGGAAAAAAATAACTTTTCTTTGTTCTAAAATAAGTTTCTTGACATCTCTTAAGAAGTGGCAGACCAGGAGCAGTGGCTTGCTCTAACCCCAGCATTTTGGGAGGCCAAGACAGGCAGATCACAAGGTCAAGAGATCAAGACCTTCCTGGCTAACATGGTGAAACCCCGTCTCTACTAAAAACACAAAAATTAGCTGGGCATGGTGGCATGTGCCTGTAGCCCCAGCTACTCAGGAGGCTGAGGCAGGAGAATCACTTGAACCTGGGAGGCAGAGATTGCATTGAGCCAAGATCGCACCACTGCACTCCAGCCTAGGGGATACAGCGAGATTCTATCTCCGAAAAAAAAAAAAAAAAAAAAAAGTGGCAGTTATTCCTGAATAGAAAATCTTTAGGTCTACACCAAAAGTGTGTCCCATTGCCCTTTTGAAATGGCCCACGTATAATATATTCTTACATGGTTGCTGCTACTGTCACTCACAGCTTAGTGTAGTTTGCCATGGTGTCAAATTGGTATGTTGATCTAGTGTCTGAAAAGTATGTCTTCCATGGTCCAGGTTATCCATGTAGAGTTCTGTGAGCACCCTAGATGGTAAGACTTAAGTACACTAGGTAGTATGGTGTACTACTTAGAAGTTCATGCAATGGAGTCCATTTGCCTAGGTTGTAATTCCGGTTCAACTACTCACAAGTTGTGTGCCCTGGGTAAATTATGAACGATTTCTCAACCTTTATTTCCTAATCTCTAAAGTACTGGTAATAATAGCATCAACTCCATAGGTTTGCTTTAGCATCAAATGGGGTCATGAACATAATTTATATAGGACACTTTGATAATTATATGTTTGCTATGGAGGAAAAAAAAGTATGAATTGCATATTACTACTGCTAGTCCATCTGAGCCCTACATTTCTGTAGCAATTCACCTGTTCAGAGATGTTCTCTCCTTTAGGTTTATGCCCTTGGTTTCAGATCAGCTTTCTACAAATAGAAATAGCTGTTCCTTAAAGCTCTATCTGGGAGTACCTTGTAGGCTTCTCGAAGGTCATGTGTAAAAGGAAAACCTGTTTTCACTACAAAGGTGGCATCTTGTCCCTCCTGGAGTGAACTTTTGTGCAATTTCTAATCTAGTGTCATTGGCTTGGTCTTTTCTGCCACTTTGTATTGTCCTCAAGCCCTGATTAGAAGACTATAAAGGGATCCCCTCCCCAACCAAAAAAAAAAAAAAAAAAAAAAAAGAACCAATTTTTTGGCTCTCTTGAAGCTGTCAATTTTTTTCCTTAGTTCTTAGTTCATGCTAGAGAGGCACTGGGGCTCATTATGCAAATTAAAATGACTTATACATAACCCAAATCACCTTAGGTTATACTAACGAGCCCTAGATAAGAAAGAATGAACATAAAATTGCATCAAGGGTATTTAGGAATAACTGCCCAACTAAAAGAATAATGAGATAAATTGCAAAGGGAAGCTATGGAGTGATTTTTAAGGTAATATTTTACACCTTCAATCACTTTTAAAAATACATTCACCTGCTAATGTGTAGAGCATCTGCACTGTATGTGTGAGGAAAAAGCCTTTCTGAATATTGAGCAATGATACTGAGCTTTCTGAGTTGTGGGCTTGATCAGAAGAGGATAATTGGCTTCTCCAATGCCAGTGTTGAGGGTCAAAGGGCACCATTCTACCCTAAAACTTGCAAATTTGGTGACTACAGATGTCAGTGAAAGGACATTTCACTGTGCCTCACAGGAAGGGAAAGTAGTGAAAGCACTGACTTTTCCAGCAACGCATAACTCTTCTCCAGTCCTGTGGGCCAACCTAACCCTATGGGGTGGATCTTCCCTGCCACTTTGCATCATCCTTCCACTGTAGCCCTATGGGGTGGCCCTCTTCTACAGGATTAGAGAAGAGTTATGTGTTGCTGGAAAAGTCAGTGTTTTCACTAGTTTCCCTCCCTGCGAGGCACAGTGAAATGTCCTTTCACTGATATCTTATCACCACATTTGCACGTGAAACTGTCCAGGACTCAACCAAGCAGAGGAGCGTTTGCTAAATCTACAAAGAACACGGAGAAGTCTGAGAACCCCGCCACTTCAGGAATTCTCAGTTTGGGGGTTGCCTGTAATATCCCTCTTGCAGTATGTGGGGAAGGGTTCCATTTCTGAGAAAAGAATCTATCTTAGATAGTTTAAGCAGTAAGACACTTATTATTGAATGCAGTTTGAGCATAAATGGTATAAAATGAAATAGAACCTAAAGTATGGGGGTCACTGATTGGTCAAGAAGTGAGGAGTGAAGTCACGGGCAGGGAGATGAAGAGATTGCATTCCTGTGCTGAGTTGACTCCTGGGTGGGGGGGTCTTTAGATCAGTTGGCGTCATTTGTTTTGCTAGAATTCAGGATCTGAAAAAACACCTTAAACAATTTTTAGGTAACAAGGTTCGGTGTCAGAGATTCTGTCTGTAAGAACAATGGGGAAGCAGGTGGTCAGAGTGCCATGTGACTCCCGGTTCGTTAGCTCCAGCAGGGAAGCAAGTCAAAGAGAGCTAGTGTCCCCGGTTCAATGCCTAACTAGAATTCTGCCTAAAGCCCAGCTTGTAATTCTCATTAACCCTGCGGGGGCAGCTTCATTCCCAGGAATGATTCCCAAAAGCACATTGCAGATCTGAGTCACCAAAAACTATCACGTGCTTCTACCATGATCAAACAGCTGTAGAACCAGGGAAGTACCAGCCAAGCTGCTGGATCTGCACAACACTGTTCCTGCCACAGTCCCCTCTAAATGCATGCCCAGGTCCTGCCTCTCTCGTTTGACTCCTTCAGATGCAAGATTCCAACAAGGGAATCTTCTTGACAACAGCTACAGGACACCTAGGAACCCCAGCTGCAAGAGATTGTCCTATAGAGAGTGTTACAGCTCTTCAGGCTCTGTGTACTAGATACACTCTCCATATATATTAAATGAGCAAGTTTATAGAATTTGCCAAAGTGTCATTGAAAATCACAGCTGGCCCTGACCTTAGGGAGTACGTTTCGAAGAAAGGAGTAAGTAAGGGTATAAAACTGATGTTTCTTGAGGAAAGAGTAGGCTGTGGGAGGCAAATAAAGCCATCCACATAGGAGGGGAAGGTATGTTTCCAAATGTGAATTGCTACAGGAGTGCAGGAGTTACCCTTTTTGTTTTTCACTGTCTGCTTTGTGGAGGTCTTACATGAAGCTTCTCTTGAAGTTTCTCCTAGAAACAATTTCATAATGGTGTTTGAGTGTTTGTAATGGCTGAGAAGAATGAAATTCCCTGCCATTCTTACCAGTAATGTCCTTCTGGATGTGGCAATATACAGAAAGTGGTCTTTACAAGGAGTTATTTTGGAGATATTTGCAGGAAAGCACATTTAGGCACAGGAGGAGGGGATATTGTGGGGGGACATCAAGGATGAGCATTATAACCATGTGATTAGCCATTTTAACGTTAAATAAAATCAATCTACTACATCAAAGGTATTTAGGAATAACTGCCCAACTAAAAGAAAAAAAGTACATCTAATAAGCGTGGAAATTATAATACGAATAGCTAACATCTGAAACAACAGCAGAGTAAGGAAAGATTGTGGGTTTTCAATCTAAAGTTAGCTCAAAACGTGAAAATTTTCTGCAGTCAAATTAATCTTGAGAATTCTCAAATTATTCCATAAATAGATTTTAGTGTGTGGCATATTTGATTGCATGTAGGCCAAGATTGCAGCTCTTATAAACCCTAACATTATAATCCACTGAGCTAGACCAAAAGAAGAAACAAAAGATTGTACTCAGATGTCTGGGCATTCAAACTAATGCCCTTTGGTAAACCACCACATTCTAAGAAGTCAATAGATGTTAGATGGGAAATATTTAAATGTTCCTGCATCCCTGAAGGGATTATGCAAATTTTTATTTTTTATTAACATTAATTGGAATGTATGTTACTGTTTCTTATTATGAAGACTGTTTAATTTTAATACAATAGAGTTAAATCTTAGAAGAGGTACAGAATCAGCTCTAAAATTATCATGTGCTTATGGAAAGACACAACTATGTAGAATGGAGGATGGAACTTTAAAGTATTGAACATTCTTCTTGATTCTATCACTAATAAACCCTTAGAATAAGACATTCTTTGTGTTTCTCTATATTTTAGTTTCCCATCTGAGAAATGGGGTTACAGCCATAGCTTCTATCACCTAATAGCTTATTAATGTGAAAGTTCCAATGCTCTTGCCTGCAAGACATCCCTGAAGCTGGCTGCCCTTATCCTTCATTACTTATCTCAATACTCACTTCTTCAGGTGACCTCCCATTTGACTGATATTTTAGGACAGACTTGATTACCTCTATTAAAGCTTGGGTTATTTACTCAAACTATTCGCTTATTTATCTTCAGTCTAGAAAGTTCCTTGTGATACCTGGCTCTTCTCCCACTTCCTAGTGCAATGCTTGGTTAATTGTAAGTTTTTTTGTGTGTTCAAGGAATAGAAAGCAGAGGAGTAAAATCTTAGAAATAGAGGGAGGTGATTTTTAAATTTCTGATCCAGCATTCGAATCTCTTTATAATATTCTTGATACATAGATTACAGCCTTTTGTAGTCAATAAAATGGAAGTACCTATTTTGGTACAACTTGTTATTTCTTTCTTAAATTAAATGAATGGTGTTTCTCTCTAACTTCAAAAATTATTTATCCAAGAAGATTTTATTGAGCACTTTTTAGCTCTATTCTAGTTAATGTAAGACCTTGTCCCTAACTTCAAGAAGCTCTCAAATTAGTAGAGAACAAAGGACATCAAGACAAGTCATTATAACACTTATGTTTACCAAGCATGATGCAAAAAAAAAGTCTGTGCAGTAAAACCAAGGGTTTGCCTAAATACATTGCTTCCAGAGGCACATTGACTGATGACCAGTATATTATGTAAAAACTCTTGCCAGATGGCATTCCAGATGTATTTATTCAGAGACGAATAAAAATAATAACTGCTTATTATATGCTAGACAGTGCTCTAAGCACTTTATATTATTAAATCATTTTGTTACTAGCACAACACTTTGAGGTCAGTACTGGAACCAAAAGAGGTTAATAACACGTGCAAGTTTCTGCCGCCGATATGCAGCAAGGTCCGGATTTCCATGGTGGCAGTCTGACTCTTGAAGTTTGCACTCCTAGCCGCCTTGCCATGCTGCAAGAGAGAAGTCATTTCTACAGGAGCTTCATTTTCTTTCAATGTCCATGTAAATATAAATGCACATATTCTGTTAGTACTGAGGCAAAAGCAAAGTAGAAAGAACAATATCTAGCACTTTGGGAGGCTGAGGCAGGCAGAACACTTGAGGCCAGGAGTTCAAGACCAGCCTGGCCAACATAGTGAAACCTCATCTCTACTAAAAAGAAAAATTAGCCGGGCGTGGTAGTGGGCACCTGTAGTCGCAACTACTCAGGAAGCTGAAGCAGAAGAATTGCTTCAACCCAGGAGGCAGAGGTTGCAGTGAGCCAAGATCATGCCACTGTACTCCAGCCTGAGTGAGAGAGTGAGGCTCTATCTCAAAAAAAAAAAAAACAAAAAAAAAAACAAAAAAAAAAAACAGCAATATCTAGAACTAAATAAATATAGATTCTATGTGTTGATATGTTGGAAGTTGAATAATTGTTGGAAGCCAAAGATTGTCTGGAATTTACAGCTGAGACTTGACTGAAGAGAGTAACCATATTAACACCATCCTCCATTTAGGGTCACACAGAAGATGAACTAAAGCAGAATCCACCAAGGAAGTAAGGAACTCTAGATGGCCCAAGGTCAGAGACAATTCTCATAGTCACATCCATCAAATGGTCATGTCAGTTGACTGCTGGAGACAAAGCTGGATGCATACGCATGTATATCCAACACACACGCAAGATATATGGAGAGATTCCATCCATTATTTTGAAACACATGTATTGAATATCTCATGTTAGTCAACTAATGGCCATGAGAAAGGTCAGAGTAAAAAAAACAATGATAGTTATATAATAGCACCCAAGATTCTGGTACCCAGAGAACACAGGTCAAGTAAGCAGCACCTCATTAAATGACGCTTGCACAAAATCTCTCTTTCTACCTGGTGTGCACATGTTATAACACCATGTGTCATACTGTGTATACGTGATGTTTTAGAAACAGAGATGAGGCAGGAGCTTTTAAAGCTACACAGAAAACTAAAAACTAATGTAATTTTCTCACGATTGTCCTTCAAATAGTATATCTCCATGCAGACTTTCAGAACCAGCTGAATTGTTCTCTTGTCATATAGATTTACCCTTGATGGACATTAATACCTCATGTATCACTTATCGTATTCATTCTCTTCTTCATGTATTCTAATCGATAATATCCCCCTTCACATAACCCAGGATTGAGCACAATACTGCACGCATTGGTCTATGTGATGCCCAGAAAGCTGACTTATTCATTGACTCCCTTACCCTGTTCTCTTATTGCAGCCCAAGTGAGTATTTGCTAATATTACCTGATGCAGGTCCTGTTAGACCATACTGACCTTACAGTCTTTTTCATACAAATTATTGTTAATCTAGGTCTCCCTTATGCTATAACTTATTTCATCTTGTTAAGTTTAGCCCATCTTTCTGATCCAGGGTTATGAAGAGGGTTGGTTGGTGCCTCTTTACAGTGACTTTATTAGCAAATCAAACGGGTAAACTTCTCAGCTTTCAGTCATTCATAAATTTGATAAGCAGATCTTCACTATAAGTAGTTGCTAAAAATGTCAAGCCTGTGATAATTATGGCTAATATGCCTTGAAACATTTGGAGGAGGAGCTCAGGATAGGTAAAAGGTATATTATGTCTATATTTAATGCAATTATGAATGTGATAATTATTATTTTCTCATTTTCCTCTCCATTATTTGTTCCTTAATTCTCCTTACCTGTCTTATTTTGGTTAATCAAAATATTTTGCTTTTCCATTGCATTTCCTCTACTTGTTTCTTCCCCAAATTGCTTTGTATTTTTTTAAACATTTTTTCTCTAGGATTGTAGTACAGATATCCACATTAGCAAAATCTATCTTGGCATTAATATTATATCACTTACTGATTAACATAGGAATTTTACACCTCCTTCTTTCTTTCGTACTCTTGTTATCATGTTTTTCTACTTATATATTTAAATTCATTATTTCTATAGATTATGTATTAGATTCGTCATATTTTTTAAAAAAAAAAAAATCCCAACTGCTAATTTCTACATCTGATTCATCTGAAGGTCTATTTTTACAGACTGATTTTACTTTTTGTATATCTTCTCATTAAAAAAATTAAATTATGGATGATATATTGGTGAGACTGAATTCTATTATCTTTTTCAAAGGAATGAAGGGTTTCATTCTAGTAGGAGTTAAATACCACAAATCAACTTGAACTGGTAGATACTTTGTTTCAAGCTTTGTTAAGGTAGGTCTATTCTGTTTTTTCCCTTAATTCTTGTGTGACTCCTTTAGTTTTGTATGTGGTACTCCTAACTCTTTTGAGAGTTCAGTGAAAAGCTCAAAACATTTTCCAAGCCTCTGTAACCTAGTGGGACCTGATTTCTTATCATACTTCCGTCTCTTGTGTGGTGGGGAGCTACTAAAATCTCTTTCCACTGTCTCAGCTTTAAGTGGCTCTTTTCTCCTGAGCCCCTTGGTGTCTCATCTCACAAATACACTGTTCAAGGTTTAAGGTATTTGAAATGTATTTATAGGCCAATTTGGGGGTTCTTCCTTCTGTGGTTCTATTCTTTCTGGGATTCCATCTACCCCTCTCAATTTCCAGCTACCTTGCATCCCCTAACTTTATCCTTTACCTCATCAGGCTAATAAAATTGTGTTTCCATGGTAGATTGTATCCATCCCTGGTAGGGGGAATTGGGGATTGTCTTCAGGGGAAAACTGTGTTGCCCAGATTCCACCCATATTGTTTTCCTTCATTCAAGAGTCAAATCCTTTCCAGCTTCTATCTGAATTGGGTCATTCTCCAATGCCTTCAAACAACTTGTTAAATATAATTGTTAGTAGAAAACTGCCCAGTGCAAGTGACTCTGAAATCACTGAAAATTGGAACCAATGATATATTCTAAAATACAAATGCATTTTATGTAAACAATTAATTATGTCTATAAAAGAACACAAGGATCAGATGATACTGTGAATAGATCTGGCTCTGAATCCTAACTTACTTCTGTGATTGCAGGAAAGTTACTTCATCTGTAGATTTCATTTCTAAGGTAGCTATTTTCCCAGGAATATTGTAAGTCTCAAAAATATTAATTCCTTATCCCATCCCATTGTTAAGGGCAACTGAAGAAGATTGAGTTTAACATTTTGAAGCAATTTGAACACTGCAGAGGAGACAGAACCTCTCAGAGTTAATATAGCTCCCCAGGTTGCTAAAGCAACTGAGAGGCTTAGGTACTGTAAGAATACGATTCGTTCAGTTCTATAAATAACACTGTATCCTTGCACTTGGCATAGCTTCTTTTTTGGGAACAGGGAGGGGAAGGAAAGAATGTCAAGACAAATTTACTTTTCCAAATAATTTTTAATGAATAAAGGTGATGGTACTAGTATGTCTTCTCTTATTTTCATTAAGTCCTCTTTGAGAAACAAGTTAAAGGAATAGAAATTTGTGGGTTCTTTAGAAGAATAAGTCACACACACATAAAAATGACAGCAAGAGGTTTTTTTTAAAAAAAAACCATAATTATTTTTCTATTTCAGATATATCTTAGAGATGGGTCCTTAGGTTGATTGAAGCCAGCAAGCGTGTCATATGACCCCTCTTTTACTCAAAACATTTTGTTTTCCAAGCTATAGATAGTGGTACTTTCTAGTTCTCTCAATTTGTTTTTTTTGTGTTATCTGTGTAGTCAACCATTGAAAAACAGTTTTTAAAGTATTGCCTATATGTGTATCTTATTTACTACTAGGAGAAAATTCTACTTGTGAAATGTTGGATATTGAAGCTTATAAACCAGATTTGGATTTGTGATAAAGTTTATATTCCCAAAGTTTTGATGTCTCCTAGTCCATGATTTTGTATATATATGTATATATAATATATATACACACACACAAATATATGTATGTTTATGCATATACATATATACCTATACATATTCATATATACATCTATATATGACTTTACACAATGTAGACATGAAGCTAAAATTGAAAAGGAAGATAGGAATAAAGCATGCACGTTTTCTTACCTATACTTAGGATTTGTGCTTAAGTTTGGGCAGAAAGGGGTGAGTAAAGCTAAGACAGTGGTTTTGGAGTGAGAACACTGCACTCTTCAGCAATGATACTTTTCAAAAGTCTTTGAGGATAGAAGACATACTAAACTTACTAAATTAGGCAGAAACGCAGGTATTTCAGGTAGGGATGATATGCATGTGAAAAAAGAGGAAGGAAGGAGACAGGAAGGGAGGGAAGGAGGAAGAATAGAGAACATGAGATTATAAAACTACTGTAATACTAAAAAGGTGAAGTAGTATTACATTATGAGACTAGGTCATGTCATAAAAAAGAATACTCTTAATGATCAGTCAGCTGGGTTTGAATCTTGATTCTGCCTAATTCTTGGTGAAATTATGAAAATTCTCTGAGTTTTAGTCCTCATCTGTAGAAATGGAAATAATATCCAACCCCCACATGTGTTTCAATGTTATGGTGGAGATTAAATTAACTGGTGTGAGAATATGTGCCACAATATCATATGGCAAATGTCCATAGGTAAATTGCAGAGGAGTGATCAAATCAGTCAACCAGACTTCCACATTCACTCTTACTTAGACATAAGCTTTTGGCTTTTTTTTTTTTCTTTTCAGAGAAAAACAAAACAGGCAAACAAAAAATCTGACTCTGCAGTTTATACAGAAGAATTACTTTTTGTCCAATACATAATTATCCTGCAATATACAGATATGTCACTAAGGTTGCTTTAGCATTTTATATTTTTTCAATAAACAAGTTAACATTTTTATTTCTAAATGTTAGAGAGGAGACTGAAAACAAGCTGCTGCGAAAGGTACTTTTGAAATTATGTGTTCTGACAAGGATCAGAGCTAAAGAGATAGCTAACAGTTATTAGCGTTCAAATCCTCAATGATGTCCCAGGTGGTAAAACAATACATGACCCAATTCATCCACCCATCCCTTTGATCAATGCAATGGAAGGTTTAGCAGCAGTGTTCACTGGAGATGACCTCATGTAGACGAGATGTGCTTGGTTCATCCCTTCTGTAGCTCCATGTTACTGAACATTTATTGACCTTAAGAATCTTATCTATATAACTTCATATAATGCTGTCAATAATCCCCTAAGGCTTGTTCCTTCTTCACAGGGGAGGCAGCTGAGGCTCAATAAAGTTTCCCAAAGTCACACTACCAGCAAGAGGTGAAGCTAGGTTCAAAATCAGACAATTTGCCCATCAGAGCTCCAGAGTGGCGTATACCTTCCCCAAGTGGACTGTCATGGAAATTTCTGTGGTTTCTCTCTATTGGATGAAGGGATCAGAATAACACATGCTGGCCTTTTTTTCTACCTGTTTCAACTTGGCTCTTTTAAAGTGTTATAAGTTGGAGGTATGTGAAACTAAACACAAATGGAGTCTTTGAATGAGAAAGCCAGCTGCCAGGGGACAGCCTCAGGAATGTGTGAATGTACTGAGGCTTTGTGAATATGCATGCTTCTCCCTGCAAGTCCGGAGGGCTTCCAGATACAGTACTTTGCCCACATTCGTCTCAAGATAATTGTATGTGTACACTGACCTCAGGTGTTTTTGCTTCTGTAGCAATAGTCAGATGGAGGTTACCTATTACCCTTTCCCTTGACTTCTTCTCCCTCGAATGCAACCTGAACTCATTGACTAAAAACTCTGAGTCTGTGCCCAGACCCCCAGTGGCAGCAGCATGTGAGTCCTTAAAAACATGGTCTGAGAACATCCGGACACAGATTCACCAGGGAAAGGCTTTGTCCACATCATAAAACAGATGGTTTCAAAGAAAGACTATTTTTCTACAGATGATTAGTGATCAGAATAGACACTGGATAAGTTTCTCAGAAGAGAGATTTTAGTCTGAAGGCTAAGAAAATATTGTCTGTGTAGATGCCTGTATGTTTGCAGGCTTCAGAAGTTTAACCTTTCAGCATACTTTGCAACCCCCTATATTACTTGAAAATTTCATGTTCTCCAATGTAATTGTTTAGAACAAAAGTAGTACTGGACACTTCCATAAGGTTAATTGGCACAAACTAGGTTTTCATAAAAGAAAGGATGAAACAATAAGTTACGAAAAACTTCTCAGGGTACCCATGAAGGAGTAAGTTAAGGTATTTCTATTTAATGGTTTATTTTATGTGCAGATCCACTTTTATTCATTTGTGTTTCAATACGTATTTGCTGGAGATAAAATAATGAATAAAACTGTACAGTTTTGCCCTCTTAAAATGAAGAGACAAGTAAATAGACAATTACATTGCAGTAGGATGTGAACTTTAATAATACAGCATGCCTTGATAGACCTTAAGAGAGGCCCCTGAATCAAGGATAAGGAGGCTTTCTTGGTGGAAATGGTGATTAAAATGTGCTTAAAGAATAAATAGGGGCTGAGACGGGCAGATCACGGGGTCAACAGTTCGAGACCAGCCTGGCCAACATGGCAAAACCCTGTCTCTACTAAAGATACAAAAATTAGCTGGGTGTGGTCATGGGCACCTGTAATCCCAGCTACTTGGGAGGCTGAGGCAGGAGAATTGCTTGAGTCTGGGAGGCAGAGTTTGCAGTGAGCTGAGATCGTGCCACTGCACTCAAGCCTGGGTGACAGAGTAAGACTCTGTCTCAGAAAAAAAAAAAATAGTAGGAGATTTACAGAGAAGGAATCAATGGGAAGGAACACTGTGAGGAGAAGTCAGTTCCGCTTTGCACATGCTGACTTGAAGGTGTCTCAAATACATACTAATAATAGCTCACATTTCTGCTGAGTTCTGGGAATGTGTCAGACAAGTTTTAAATGTTGTCTCCAATGCTCTCAACAACCTAAGGAGGTAGATTTTTTTTTATCGTGCTTTTTATGAGGTTGAAATAAATGTTTGTGAGTCATTCACATATTGACTGTAATGGAAACGATGGGAGGGTGTCAGAGTGCCCAAGGGAGGTACAAAGTGAGAGAAGAAGAGAATCATGGAAGGTCCTGAGGAAGTTCACCCAGGAGACAGAGGCTGAACAACTGAACAGATGGAAGACAAGCCAGGACAATGCCCTATCATGGAATCAAGAAAAGAGTTGGCATCAAGAAAGCAGGTGTCATCATCCAGCATGCTGGATGAGAAGACAGTCACTCTGAGGGCGGAGTGTGGTTGCCGGGAGTCGGAACATCTTCCAGGGAACTGAAGGGAGGACAGAAAGTAAGGAAGGAGAGACAGGAAGGAGAGCAACTTTCCTCTTAAGAAATACCAGGCTGAAAGGAGAGAAGAAAGAGAGGGCAGTACGAAAGTGGAGCACGGGATTGAGAGGCTTTGCTGGTTTGTGTTTTTTAGGTTGGAAGAGACCAAAGCGTATTTACATACTGAGGATGAGAACGGCAGGAGTGAAGGAAAGGTTGAAGAAGGAACAGGGGAGAAAGTGGAGGTACCTATAGGAAGGCATCTCAGGGAGCCAAAGGAGGTGGGAACTGGATGCAAGCAGGGCCTTAGCTTAGGCTGGGAGGAGGAGGAACGATTCTTTAATACAGCCAAAAGGAAGGAGAGAAGGCTGCACTGTGGACATGGGTAGATTGCTATATTCGGCTCTCTCTGCCATAACCCTCACTCCTCACGTAGATTGTTTGACAAAATTCAATCCCATACAGCAGGTCCTCCAATGTGGTCATTTCATTGCACAGAGTTTCATTACAACATTGATGATAAAAAAAAATAATAATAATTCTTTGCTTGGGCCACTGTCTGTGGAGTTTGCACATTATCCCCACATCTATGTGGGTTTTCTCTGGGGACTCCAGTTTGCTCCCACGTCGCCAAGATATGCATGTTAGGTGAATTGATGTGTCTAAACTGTCCCTATCTGTGTGAGTATGGGTGTGTGTGTGAGTGAGCCCTGCAGTGGGATGGGGTCCTGTTCAGGTTGACTCTGAACTGTAATAAATGGGTAAATAATTCTCTGACTTGTTTTTATGAATCTTTAAAAAATATGAGTTAGCTCACATTTAGCTTAATGTTTAATGTTAGAAGGGTTTTGGTCTTTGTATGGACGTTTGGTGTTGTTTTCGTGGCCAGAAATATGCCACAGAACCGTAACTTGTTTATATCAATTAGTCTATGGAAAAATTAGTTTCACTCTACACAGTTTCATTTAGAGTTGCAGTTTTCAGAAACCTATAGACAACATTAAGTGAGGGCTTACTAGAATGGATTAGTTAACCAAAACTACCCCAATGTAATTGAGATTCACTGAGCTGTTTAGCTGTGTTTGCTTCTTGTTCAGCCAGCCACATACTAGTTAGTATTTGCTAACAAATAGCAAAGAACATTTTAAAAAATCAAGGGTGAGCATAAAATTAACATATCCCAACACCTCACTTATTCATATTTCTGGCTTGGTCAGCCTTCTTAAACATTAGGAAATATTGTCAGGATTTTCCACCTGCATTAATATGTCAAAATCAGGGGGAGTGAAGAAGTTTGGTGACTTAGATACAGCTTTGAAACAAACAGGTCTACACCATCTTGGTTCTTGTATTGGAATCCTTTTTGTTCAGCGTTGCCGCTGAAGTTATTTTCGGAACATCATATGGATTTTTCATTGAAACATCTGTGTTAACTTTTATTATCCCTGGTCTGTTTTGTAATTTTGGAAACAGATATAAAAAATCGCAACCCAAAGCACAGTAATATAGTGGGAAGCATCCTTCATAAGTCAATTGAGGAATTTAATAATCTCTTTAGAAATAAGCTCTGCAGCTATGAGAAAAATGTGTGGGTTAAAGGCCTTCCAATTAAGAAAGGTTTCTCTGTGGATTTATAGGCTGGTGGTTCACTCTTCCTGTTCGTGTCTCCATAGCAACTGTCAGGTAGATTTTCTGCTGCTTGCTAGGAAGTTGGAAATGTTGAGTCTGGTTGAGCCTTTTCAATTCAGTGAAGCTTAAATGAAATTCTTTGCAAGGAACTGGCATTTAGCCTGGGTCATTTATTCATATCTAGAAGAAAAAAAATCAATTATAGTAATCAAATGTGCAAATTTTTTATTGGGATTATTTTTGGTACATATTTTGTGCTGTAATCTATTTTTAATGGCAGGGTACTAAAGGTTTGAAGGGCTGCAGCTGGCCTCTTCGCTATCTGATGGCTTGTGGCTTTAATTACAGCCCAAGACATAGGAAGGCATGCCTTTTTCTAGTATACTTTTGCAAGCTATAATCACCCCTGGTGATATTCAGAAGCAAACTAGAATCCAGGAGCCTCATTAAGTTGAGACACCTATATTGCAGCAAATACAATGTACAACCTTTTATTCTTTCATTTTTCCTGTCCTGTTGGTTATTTGAACTAAAGCTTTGGAAAATAAATCATGTATATGCCACCATTTAAATTTCTTTGGAGTATATTGTCTTCATTTTCCCTTCAGATTAAACCCACTTGAGCGTCACTCACTATGGTTAATTTCAACCCACATTGACTGATGCCTGACAGCTCCACGTAGGATGGTCTCCTTTAATCCAAAAAAAAAAAAAAAAAAAAATCAAGCATGTAGGTGGGCAAAGTGAACTCTTTACATAACATACAACACATGCCACACAAAGGGAAGATATCTAAGGGACCATGCTTAGTGCGTTCTTTTGTTAGCATCTTTTCTCACTGGCAGAGAAACAGCAGCTTCTACAGAAAATAAATCACAGTCCTTATTTCACACAGTGGTGCTATTTTTATCTCCCAGCTCCCCTGTGGATATTTATTATAAGATATATTATTTACAACAATGGCTTTAGATGCATATTTTAGTTCATTTTGTTACATTCCTCCTTTGTCATTTGTATACCATGCCTTTACCTATTACAACGACGCTTCTTACGATATATAGTAATCGACTGCTGGCAGGAATACAAATAAAACTGAGAAAGAGAGAGAGGGAGGGAGATTAAAAAAGTCAGAGCTGAAATGTCCTTTACTTACTTGCCTTGCCTTGTCTTATTTTCTTCCTCTTTGGTCTAGAAACTGTGCTTTCTTCTATTAAGCCAAATAAAAACTTTCTGAGAAGAGCAATTGAAGCTGAAAGAAGCTCACTCTTCAGTTGCTACACTAGGAAGTGGAAATGAAGTTGCTGGGTTCTGCTCTTAAGTTTATTTACTCTAAAAGGTGGGCAATTTTCTCTTAAAATAAATCGTACTTGGAGTTACATGGCTCAGCCAGCACAAGATGCATCTATGCCCGGGAGCTGAGAGTCAGAGAAAGGGGATGTTCCGTTGAGATCTGGAGAGCTGGACAGGAAACAGACTTTCTTGGTTACAGCATACACTAGAATATCCACATACAGGGACGGATGCATCGTTTGACCGAGCATATACTGGAATATTCACATGCACAGACAGATGCATCGTTTGACCACAGACATCACTGGGACTCGGCTCTACCACTTGTAAACAGAGCCATCCTTAGTAAAAGCATGTGGTGGAAGCCTCTTGCTTTGGGGAAACAGAAAGACAGATGTTGGCCGCCACCCATGAGAGGCAAACGTCAGGCCTTCCTTGCTGCCAGCATCTATATGTTGGGTCAGAGCTCTCCCTTCCTCCACCTGCTCCTCACTCCAGGCAAATGCCTCTGCCACCTCCAGTAGCTTTGGTCCAGTATGTGATCAGGCTGTCCCTGAGCTGTCCCCATGGCCAGGGGATGGGGGACAAACCATTGAGGAGGCCACTGCCCTATGCTACTCCTTAGCTCAGTGCAGCTTTAATTCAGAAAAGGTGCCTTTTGGGGCCCTCTCTGTGTCCTTGACTTCCAGGCCTTATGCCCAGTCCTTGAGGCTGTGGCACCTGCTCCATGCACTTGCGGCCTCCAGGCTGCCCTGAGCTCTCTCCTTCTAGACTTTAGTTCCTGGGAAAATGGAGACCTCTTCTGAGTGGGCCTCAGAACCACTTCTTTGGCTTTGCAGTGAGATGACTTTCCATGGACTATGCCTCCCACCTACCCAGCTCCTGTCCTGCATCTGGCTCATGGCAGGCATCTTGCTTAGTGCCACTGAGCTGAGCTGCAAAGACGCTAGGGTCCCCTCTTCCCTCCGCTTCCCCACCTTCACTCCCAGTATCCTGGCCTGATTTTTCTCTTCCTCTATGTAAGGCTGTTTCCTCCAGTCCCGCTGCTCTGGCTTAGCTCATTCTTCATTTTCCCGGTGACAACATGGCAGGGTCAGGAGTCCTCACAGTAGTCAAGCGTCCGCTCCCTGCAGTTCAGATCACCACCTCTTCCTGCCACTCCCCAGTACCCACTCATCAAGACTTTGTGTAAATACCAATTCAAATGTTAGTTAAAATCTCTCTTTACCCCTGGCAGTTGTCCCTCAAAGGTCTCCTTTCAGAGCTGTAATGATTATTAGCAAGTTACTTACCTTCTCTAAGCCTCAGGTTCTGAATTCATGAAGTAGGTATAATTGTGTATAAATCATATTGCTGTGAAGATTGAATTAATTGATGCATATAAAATCTGTAAAGGAGTGGTTGGCACTTTCTAAAGTGCTTGATAAATATTAGCTTTTATTGTTGTTCTTTGTGGGGTTTTTGTGTGCAAAGAGCCGAAGCTTTCAAATCCTACAGATATGTGTTTGAATCTGTCCTCCGCCATTGACTGCCTGTATAATTTTGAGTAAGTTTTAAAATTTTGCTGAGCCTGTTTTTCTTCTAGTAAAATGAGGGAATTCAGACCTGCTTCCTAGGACTGCTAAGGGCATTAAATGAAAGGAGGCCTTTGTGTTTTCTAGAAAAGCAGTTCCCATCATCCCACAGTAATAACTGTTTTTTCTCCTTCAGCAGGTTGTTTTTTAAAAATTCTAACTTAGTATTCTTTTTTATCTTTAGCTCCCCATCGGGTGCCTAAAACACTTACTCATAATCCTCCTCTATCTTATTAGCTCTCTTCTTGGAAATGATTTCCCTTTCCTCTTTGATCCTTAGCAAAACCTCTGCTGCATCCATGCCATCCCTCTTAGAATACCAGAAGGCAAGTGATCCACCTTTCAGCGCCTTCCCCCTTGCAAAGCTGGGTGAGTTTTTTTGTTTGTTTTTGTTTTGTTTTTTTGAGATGGAGTTTTGCTCTTGTTGCCCAGGCTGGAGTGGAATGGCACGATCTCAGCTCACTGCAAGCTCTGCCTCCCAGGTTCAAGTGATTCTCCTGCCTCAGCCTCCCGAGTAGCTGGGATGACAGGCATGCACCACCCTGCCTGGCTAATTTTGCATTTTTAGTAGAGATGGGGTTTCTCCACGTTGGCCAGGCTGGTCTCAAACTCCTGACCTCAGGTGATCCACCCGCCTCAGCCTCCCAAAGTGCTGGGATTATAGGCGTGAGCTACCGCACCCGGCCTGGGTGAGTATTTTTAAGAGGCTGCTTCTAAAAGCAACACAGTGGCCCCCTCACTGGGGTGGGATGCCACATCAGAATGAGGGCATGTGTTAGCACAGTGCAGAGAGTAGTGACTAAAAGGGATGCCTTCCAAGCACCTCTCACCCCAAGGAGCCCACTCCCAACTCTAAGCGTGAAGCTGCCCCACTGGCAGAGGTGGGAAGTGCCCGGGATATCTTATGTCCAGTTTCTCCTATCTCTAGCCTAGTTTCACATTTGAGATTTTTAGGGTTTTTATTTTCCTAGCTCCTCAATCCCAGCTGTGGTCCTCATTCCCTTGCTATGCCTGCAATCCCTGCAAGTGTAGAATGTGGAATTATTCTTGTCAAATCTGCCCCTTCCAGATTGGCTAACTTGAAGATCAGAGCTTTCTGCAGAAGAAAAGACTTCCTGGCTCAATGTGTCAGCTCCGTTTCATGTAGCTAGATCTTTCAATTTGTAGCATAACCCCTGCAGCACTAGAGAGAAAAGATGATATGTCTGAAATGCTGAACTATGGTCACCCCTGTCTACCATTATGTTTCCACAGACATTTCTATAAAAAGCTGCAAAACCAAGGGGTCTCAGATCTGACACCTGAAATGGCTGCAGTCCCACAAAGGCACCCCTTTTCACGTCCCTTGTTGATTGGCCCATCCCATCCTGCCTTTCAACACGCAGCCCGTAACTCTATATTTAGGGCAATGGCCAGCCATATGCTGTATACATGTTCCAGACACGTCTCACTCCTCTCTTGGATGGCTTCCCCTGTGAATTTGGTGTTAAACTCAGGACTGTGTTCCTAGCTCAGCTCAGCTGCTTATTGTGTGACATTACACACTTTTCTGGAGCTTTCCTATGTTTCGTGCTCTATAAAATAATCAACAATAGTGACGGCTCTTATATTGAGTGCTTTCTGTCTGCCCAGATCTTATTTTAAATGTGTCCTATGTGTGAGTTTCTGTGGATGCACCAATTCCTTTACACTTCACCGCAGTCTTATGAATGAGATATTATTGCAGGGAGGAAATGGAAGCAGAAGTGCTCCCAGGTAGCAAACGGTAAAAATGGAATTTGCACTCAGAGCCTATATGCTTAATCCTAAGTTACTTTGATTTCTTTGAATTTGCAGGTTGTAATATATGCAACTACAATCAATTCTCATTATTCACAGTAGTTATATTCTATGAAGTCACTGCAAACACTGAATTAGCAAATACTGAACGCTTGCTGCTAAGAGAAATACAGGGCTAGCTGCCCATGAGTGTCTGATTACAACGTTTTCATCAACTAATCAATACGTGACCTTGTTTTGCATATGTTCTTGTTTAAAGCCGTTTAATATACATATCGATGCATTAACATTGAACTCATGGCCCACAGCACCAAAACTCATGCCTGAAGAAAGCTTATATAACACACAGATTTTTCTCCAAAAGGCACACCACAGCCTTCTTGCACTTAGAGGCACTAGATAAGATTCCAACGTTACTCTTGGGGGCCATTTTAAACAGTAAAATCACTAACAAAAGGCACAAAACCATGAAAAATAGACCACGAGAAGGAGACTTGTTTACAGTATGAGAACTGAGACGCAGGTACAGCCTCGTGCCTTATTCAACCTCACCTGGGAAGGCAGATGGGCAACTTTAGATTTTTTGGTTGTTCTGCATTTGTTTGCAAACTGCTGAAAAAGCAACAGTGAGTATTCGTTTGGAGGGTTACAAATAAATTTCAGTGAGTAGGTGAATTCGCAAATATGCAATCTGTGAATAATAAAAATCTCTACATATTAATGAGGGAAGAACATCTCAGAAGATCTTAAAACAAGATCTTCTTCATTACAGAATACATTAGAATATCCACATGCATAGATGGATGCGTCGTGTGGCCACAGAGTTCACTGTGACTCAGCTTTGCCACTTGTAAACAGAGCCATTTTGAGTAAAAGCCTGTGTTGAACTAGGAGTTGGATTTGAGGGGAGCATAGTAGAGGCAGGGGCTCTCCTACTTGCAAAGGCACAGGTCTATTCTACTGTTTTTCTGACTGAAAAAAAAAAAGGAAATATTTTGGTCACCTGTTTGCATGAGGGATGAAGCTTTATCTCTCAGAAATACCTGTATATCTTGACTGCTCTTTTCGGATTTTAGAAACATGTTTTCATTTGTGGATACACAGTCTCTGTGTCTACGAGTTATATTTCTCTTTCTCGGCAATGGATTGGAATGGCATCGAGCAGCAGACACTAAGTAGTATTTTCTCTGGGGAGAAGATAAATGACTGGTAAAATAAAACAATGGAGATTACTCCATTCCCATCTCATAAGCTAGCTCTTGGGACTTGTAAGCCAAGAAGTAGAAGTGGCTGAACTGGGGTTAGAGGGAAGCTAGGTTCCTGGTGTGGTTCTTTATAATCTTGCTATTCAAAGATGGTCTGTGGACCAGCATCAATAGTGTTACCTAGGAGGCTGCCAAAAAAAAAAAAAAAAAAAATGCAGATGCTTAGGCCTCCCTGCAGATCCGCTGAATTCAAATCTGGATTTTAACAAGATCCAAGTGCGCTTCCTAGGTACATGAAATTGAGAGAAGCAGAGCTTTGCAAAACCAAGCCCACATCCCAGCTTGCCATTGCTTCACAATACCACTCACCTGTGAATTCTCTTCTGGGCTCTCTAGTCATCTCTCTGACCACAGCTTTTGCACAGTGCCAAGGTCACTGGGACCCCACTACAAAACTCTAGAACCCTCTGTGACTTTTGCACCAGGACACCACTGAGCCTTCTTTCTCTCAGCGGCTAGTTGTGTTCATTATCCATGAGCAATATCTACGATGAAATATTTAAGTTACAAAATAGCTCACTCGGCCCTCTTGATCAACCACATGGTGTTCTCCTTGTCATAGGTCCTAGAGGTCAAATTGTGACTTTCTTAGTTAACTAACTCATAGCAGAATAGATGTATGAGAGTTTAATATTTCAAATTTTTTAAAATCAAAGTTGGACCAAGTTTTTGTCCAACCCAGACATCCATGACTCTCAAAACTAGACTATCATCAAGGATCAGAAATTCAGTGCAGATTCTTAACTTTAACTTCTCTTATCTACAGTTTCCCAATCTGTAAAATAAATGGAAGATAATGGACTCCTTTCTATTTCACAAACGCTTTATAAAGATCAAATTAGAACGTGAAGAAGTACACTCTTAAACATGACATGCTATGCAAATGCCCATTATAGTAATTGCTATTTCTGGTAAAGATAACACAGTATTAATACTCCTAAAAATTCAACAATTTACTAATACACAGGAGAATATAAATGTATATATTCATTTTCAGGCAGAAAAAAAGTTATTAAAATTTTTGGTGTTACATTTCGGAATTGCCTTTTGACATGTATGGAATCAGAACACATCTTGTAGCCATTTAGATATTGCCTTTGACAGTGACTGCTGGTCGACTGGAACTGACAGAGAGACATCTTGGCTTCTTTCTGAAGTCTGAGGTTCTTAAAATGCAATGAAAGCATTTGGGCCATTTTTAATGGAAATGTCATTCTTGATATTTGTGAAACCATCAGAGACCAGCAAACCTTCTAAAAATCTCCTTTTTGTGTTGCCCTTGCAAAGCACGAATGGTTGTCACATTAAATACCCAGTCATGCAGTCCTTCCCTGCACAGACAGCAATATATTTTCCAAGAAAGCTCATGGGTGGCTGTAACGGATAACCTTAACTCCTCCTCAGATTCAAAATCTGACTGGCCCTCTGTTTGCAAAGGTTAAGTAAGATGTGTGCCATTTGGAAAGCCATTGAATAGCTTCTGAACACACAACCCTTTAACTCATATTGGTTAATGAAGAGTGGTCCCTACTGCATAACTCATTTCCTTCTGGTAAGTGAGGTGTTTGGTGGGGCACGCTTACTCGTCTGAGCCATTAGAAACTAATTTATGCCATCCTGCCTCTGGAATGCAGTGTAACCAGCACATCTGGCTATGTCTGCTCAAACACTCAGTGGTGCCCAGTGGAGTGAAGGAGTGTGGAACGCACCACCCAGAGCTGGGAGCTCAGGCTAGCAAGCAGTGGGTTCATCACTGGAGATCACAGAACCTAAAGGCTTGGGGTTTATTTTTCCCTCTTTCCTTAATACCCAGGAGTATTGTTTCCTCCTGGATTCAATGTGGTCTACGGCTCTGTGTTCCTATGCAGCATGTTACCCCCATGTGCCCACAGGAACAATATCCAGAAACTGCTCAAATCTGTTCTGCAAAGAGCAGGCAATAGTGTCTTCTTTTGAAAACTTGACACTGCCTTCTTTTCAGTATTCTTCTTTTTAGCTTTTAAGTTTGATTCAAAATGAGATGTCTAATAAGAACTTTTAAATAAAAAATGTCTTAACTGAAAAATAGTTAGCAGACAACTACACCAGAAGTAATAGCATCATATCAATAACCTTAAATTATATTACCTAATATTTAATCCTGTTAAAATGTTGGCCTTCTCTCCTCAGAGAAGTTTTAGTCTGTTTGTTTTGTTTTGTTTTGTTTTGTTTTGTTTTGTTTTGTTTTGAGACAGGGTCTCACTCTGATGCCCAGGCTGGAGTGCAAGTAGCATGATCTCGGCTCACTGCAACCTCTCCCTCCTGGGTTAAAGCAATTCTCAAGCCTCAGCCTCCTGAGTAGCTGGGATTGCAGGTGCGCACCACTACACCCAGTTAATTTTTGACGTTTTTAATAGAGGGTGGGTTTTTCCATGTTGCCCAGGCTGGTCTTAAACTTCTGGCCTCAAATGATCTGCCCACCTCCGCCTCCCAAAGTGCTGGGATTACAGGCATAAGCCACCGCACCCAGCCATCTCAGAGAAGCTTGATGCCAGGCACTGAAGATTCAAAGATGGGAAAGATCCGTTCCTGACTTTGTAATGGTTACAGTACAGCAAAGACCCAAACGCAGATTGAATAGGGTGTTGGGTGCTATGGTGAAGATTAGTAACAGCTGCTATGGAAGCAGAGAGACAGGAAACTCACCTAGGGTGTCCTGGAGGCCTCCTGGAAGAGAGGCTGCTTGCGGTTTAATAGGATGAGTAAAAAAAAAAATCAGAGGAAGGACTTAGGAAAGAAAATGACAGGAAAGAGTGACTGCACAGGCAAAGACACAAAAGTGGGAAGATCCTTCATGTGCAACAACAACAAGCAGCGTGGAATTACTAGACACAGGCATCCCTTTGGAGCATGAAGGAAAGTGAGGGTGGAGAGGAGGGCAGAGGCCGGGTCAATGTCATGTGAAACAGTTTTGATTGTCTTTAGTCAGTGGGAGCGATGGAAGGGGATTGGGTGAGAAAATGAGAGTTTGTTGTTAACATTAGTGCTCTGCCATTACTCTGTGGAGGATACAGATGGGAGCCAAGACCAGAAGAAGAGAGAGAGAAAGAGACCACTGGGGAAACTAGTCACCCAGATAGGAGGGAAGGAGGGGTTCATTTTGTTTTTTGTTTTGTTTTGAGATGGAGTTTCCCTCCTGTTTCCCAGGCTGGAGTGCAGTGGTGTGATCTCAGCTCTCTGCAACCTCCACCTCCCTGGTTCAAGCGATTGTCCTGCCTCAGCCTCCCGAGTAGCTGGGATTACAGGTGCCCGCCACCACACCCGGCTAATTTTTGTATTTTCAGCAGAGACAGTGTTTTGCCATGTTGGCCAGGCTGGTCTCGAACTTCTGACCTCAGGCAATCTGCCCGCCTTGGCCTTCCAGAGTCCTGAGATTACAGGCGTGAGCCACCGCGCCTGGCCAGAGGGGTTCATTTTAGAAAGCTGAAGTCGGAAAGAAGACAGGGCAACGAATTCAGAAAATAATTAGTAGGCAAATAATTGTCAGGTTATTGAGTGGTTTTGAACGGGTGCAGAAGGAGTCTTTTATTTATTTATTTATTTATTTATTTATTTATTTATTTATTTATTTATTTATTTTGAGACGGAGTCTCCCTCTGTTGCCCAGGCTGGAGTGCAGTGGTGCGATCTCGGCTCACTGCAAGCTCCGCCTCCCGGGTTCACGACATTCTCCTGCCTCAGCCTCCCGAGTAGCTGGGATTACAAGTGCCCGCCACCACGCCCGGCTAATTTTTGTATTTTTAGTAGAGACAGGGTTTCACCATGTTGGCCAGGATGGTCTCGATCTCTTGACCTCGTGATCCACCCGGAGGAGGGAGTCTTTAAGGATACTGTAAGACACTCTATAAGAAGGTCCTGGTGTTTCTTAAGCCCATGGACAGATGTGCTGCCATTTATGGAGATGGAAAAGCAGGAAGGGAGAACAGGTAGCGGGTGGTTGGAGACCATAACTTCAGCTGGGGGCTGTAGAACCTGTGAAACATCCAAGCGGAGCCGAGCACTCAGATGAAGCTTTAAGTCCAAAGCTACAAGGGAAAGCATAGGATATAATTGTAGGACTTTTAGAAAAACATAGTATTGCTTGGTGACTCTCCTAATTGAGTATCTGAATGTTTCAATTCAATATTTTTAAAACCAACTTAAATTCTCCATCCTAACCAGTATGATAATAGTATGCTTATCATTTCAACATCTGTAATTCTTCTATTTCCTTCAGAGTCTTTCTTAATTTCTTCAAGGGTTAATTTTTTTTTAAATGAGGTACATTTTGGTCATTAATGTATTGTTTATTTAAAAAACATAAAACATGCTCCTTTGTTATTGAAAGTTATATATAAAAAAGGAGAGCATTCAGCGTTTAAGGGGTGATTATTTATATTTCAAGTTTCTGGTATTGTTCTCTTAAAATAAATCTGACTCCATTTCATATCCAAATAGCAAAAACAAAATATTATTTGCCCTACCCTGGAAGGTTTCATGTTATTTGGAAATATATGTGACTTGATGGTTTTCTGTGTGTGTGTGTGATAGTTCAATGACTTTTTATTAAGAACGATTCTTCTATTCCCGTTTTAACATATTCTTTCAAGTATCTTAGAGGATCACCAAAATATTCTCCTAGACATCAATGGCAAAGTTTATTATAAAATATTTCAGCTTCTGCATTTTTTTAATAATAGAAAGAGAATAAGTGAATCTATAACACTTGTTGCTATGGTAACTCACATATTTCTATATTGAGAAAGAACATGGAAATTTCTAAATGCATTTTTATCCTTATGACATATGTCTCTGTATAGACAAGACCATATACTTTGAGTGACTTTAAGTCCAGGAGACTAGGAGATGCCTTCTTTTAGATATTTCATATTAACTTTCCTGCAGAGACAGATGCCATCAGACCTGGGTCTTGTAATTAGTTGGCATATATATATTGTACACATGGTTCAAGAAGAAAATTGATTGCTGTTATTTTAAAGTAAGATTGGAAATTATCCCTAACAGAATATTTATGCTTTATCTGTTTATTAAATCTGTTTAATTTTTGCTTTAACTGTTTATTAAAACTGTTTTTTCAAGGCATTTCAAATTTGAAATTTGTTGGTAAATAAATCATCTGTCTGCCTGAACCTTAGCCTAGGTTGGCTCTAAATCAAACATGTTGCACGTACATTCATTTATTAAGAAATGTTTATGACAACTACATTTAAAATCTCTGCTAGATTTATAATCTGGAGGAGGTGACAGTCACAAGCAGATCGTTATACAAAATATGCCAAATGATATGTGCCAGGAAGGAAGTATAAACAGGTATCATTGGAACACAGAGAAAGGTCATTAACTTAGCCTGAAGGCATCAGGAAAATTTTGGTAGGAAGAAGAGTAGGGAGAGGAAAGAGAGAGAGAGAGAGAGAGATGATGCCTGAATTAAGTCTTAATGAATGAGGCTCACCCTATAGGATATTTTTGTCTAAATAAAAATGAATACTTATAGAGACAACAGCTAATATTAAATACTAATATTTAACAACTACCAGAAAATACCCTTTATGTACCCACAAAAGCAGCTCTTTGTGCATGAAGGAAAAAAATCAAGGGAGATGCATGATTGGGTAACAAGAGTTCAGTTCAGTTTATTGAGTTTCAATTATTGCCAGACATGACCCAGAAACAAAGGTGGCTCCCAAGGCGTTCACCTTGTATGAAACTTAAACAAGCTTAGAAAGGAGTTATAACCTTACCCTACAATCGGACTCCTTAAATACAGCTCTATTTAAGTAGAATTTCACTAAAAACTAATGGCGAATAAATGTAAATATTTGGAACATTTATATGATTTAAATGTTTTCCTTAAAAACTGGGATGGGTGAGAAAAATCAGAAAACAGAGCAATTACATTGGTAATCAACCTGAAGAAATAACTCTCTCTCTCTTTTTCCTTTATCTTTATTTCTTTGCTGTTGTTGTTGACAACAGAAACCACAATGTCTACACAGGTAAATGAGAAATTCAAATGATCCGAAAAACAAATTAAAAGTAAGAACCAATGGACTAGACTGTAAAAGATATGAGAACTATTTCTACCTCTGCTATTTATTAATTTGCAGTATGGCTTCGGCAACACCCTTGCCTCATGCTATGATCTGAATATTTGTGTTTCTCCAAAACTCATGTAGAAAGCTCATCCCCATTGTTGACATAGTAAGACATGGTGACTTTAGGGGGTGATTTGGTCATGAGGGCTCCACCCTCATGAATGAGATTAATGCCTTTAAAAAAGTGACTTGAAGAAGGCTCCTGCCCCTTCCCCCACAAAAGGAGGCAGCAAGAAGGCACCATTTAGAAACAGATGACAGCCCTCACCAGACACTGAATCTGCTGATGCCTTAAAATTGCACTTCCCAGGCTCCAGAACTATAAGCAATAAATTTATAGTGCATATAAATCACCAGTCCAAGGTATTCTGTTATATCAGCCTGGATTGATTAAGACACCCCATAAAATCTGATACTAGATCTAAGCTAGGCACAGAGGAATCAAGAATGGGGGTGGTGCTTGACCTTGGGACACATATAGTCTAGGGTAGAGATAACAGGAAGAATCAATAGGGCAATGAGGCTGCTGTGGAACAGAGAGAAAGGAACCTAAAATCAGCCATTCTATGACTCCATTTCTTTACACAAGATATGGCCATATGAGCAGTTGGGTCATTTCACCTGAAACTTACCAACTCATTACAGAATGAGGTACAAAGCCAGAATATTTTTTTAAGTAGAATTATATGAAATGTTACTCTTACATATTTACAATATTTTAAAGGCTGTGGAGGGAATATGCAGAAACATCAATAGAACAAATTGAAAGTATAAAATGTTCCCCAAATAGTTCTTTTATTATAAGTTAAAGCCAGCACTTCAAATAAATAAGAAAATGAAATATTATTTAAGAAATATCGTTAACCAACTGCATGGCAACTTGTCTGAATTAAATATTTAAATATTAACATGAAAAACAATTCCATAAATGTAAAAATAATGTGAAAGACGTTCTATTTTTTGTTTTGTTTTGTTTTTGAAACAGAGTCTCACTCTGTCATCCAGGCTGGAGTGCAGTGGTGCAATCTTGGCTCACTGCAACCTCTACCTCCTGGGTTCAAGTGATTCTCCTGCCACAGCCTCCCGAGTAGCTGGGATTACAAACACCCACCACCAAGCCCAGATAATTTTTGCATTTTTAGTAGAGACAGGGTTTCACCATGTTGGCCAGGTTGGTCTCAAACTCCTGACCTCAGGTGATCCTCCTGCCTCAGCCTCCCAGATGCTGGAATTATAGGCGTGAGTCATCAAGCCCAGCCGAAAGATGTTCTAAAATGATATCTATACCGGAAAACTAACATGGGAAGAAAAAACCAACAAATAGAATACTTGAGTCCATAAAATTTTTTAAAGCTTCTGTGACATAAGATTTAAATCATAAAATTTAGAGATTCCACAAACTGAGAAGATAGTTAGAAAGTATATGTTAGGAAAAAAAAATCTAATGTCCTTAATAATTCTTAATGCATAATATTTTTTACCTATTTATTTAGAAGTTTAATTTTTTAAAATTGCTAATACCCAGCATTGGCTTGCCTGAGAAGAAAGTATTTAATACACTACTCATAGAGGTAAAAATTGATAAAACTTTCTGTAGGTTAATTTTGGAATGGTAATAAATAGCCCTTGCAATATGCAAAAATGTCAATGCAGCATTCCCAGCTTGAGGAACATATTTTAAGAAAATAACTAAGCATCGATGTGTACAAGGAAGCAGTCACAATGATTTTCCACCAAGTGTTATTAGTAAAAGTGAAAAGAAACACCATCACCCAAAATAGCCAACAATAGATGACTGAGTCAGTAAATGATCATATACAGCTTTACATATGTTGTTATGGACTAATAATTTTATTATATATATTGATTAAATATTGATAATATTGATTATCAAAAAATATTAGTGACCAAGCCACTACATAGAACATAGGTATAATATGCCAGTACATAGAATAATAGTTATAAATGTGCCTACATTTTTGGATTTCTTAAATTATCTGCTATTCTGTGATAACCACCATTGACTGCTTATATTGCAGTTTAAAATGTATTTTGTATCTAAAGCTGTATTGTACTATAGAGGCCAAAGACATGGAGAAAAATTAGAATCACAAAAATGGAACAGGAGACACAATGGTGAAAAAGATTTATCAATATATCAAGAGTCCTCTGGAATAGGAGAATTCCACTTGGAAGAGATTGGTATAGAACAAGTAAAGAAAAGCAGAAGTTGGAAATAAGTTTCAGGTAAGGAATAAGAAGAACTTTGCATAAGAAAACATGGCAGGAGTAGGCAAAGGACAGGAGAAGAAGACCAAGTTGAATAACATATTGATGATTAATCTAGGCTTCTGGCTTGGAAAGTCAGTCATACAGTAGAAAACCTAATCTGAAGAACAAAGATGGAGTCTGAGGAAGACAGGAACAAAACTTCCTGAGAGAGAAAATGTAGAATGTTTTAGGAGCCTTGGAACAAGTGTTGGCAAACGATGACAGTCCTGTTTCTGTATAAACTGTGAGTTAAGAATTTTTGAATGGCTTTAAAAAATTAAAAGAGTAATATTTCTTGAAATGAGAAAACTGTATGAGATTCAGATCCCACTGTCAATAAATAAAGTTTTATTGGAATACTGCCATGCTCATTTTATGTTGCCATGGCTGCTTTAGGTCCACAAAACAGAGTTGAGTGCTGTTAGTAGCAACACATATCTCACAAAACTTAAAATATTTACTATCTGGCTCTCCACAGGGTTTTCTGACACCCCTCCCCCTGCCCCAGTCTAAAATCTAAAGGAGACATTAAGGAACACGCAAATCTTTAGGAAAGACATTAAATAAGGATTGCCCTCATGAAATCTAGAGTATAGGAGATTTCGAAAACTAAAATAACTATTATTCATGCTTGAGAAGATGTAGATGTATTAGGCAGTTCTTGTATTGCTATAAAGAAATACCTGAGGCTAGGTAATTTATAAGAAAAGAAGTTTAATTGGCTTATGGTTCTGTGGGCTATACAGGAGGCATAGCATCGGATGTCTGCTCACCTTCTGATGAGGCCTCAGGAAGCTTACATTCACAGTGGAAGGCAAAGGGGGAGCAGACATATCACATGGTGAAAGCAGGGGCAAGAGAGAAAGTAAGAGAGAGAGAGAGACAGAGAGAGGTAGGGGGACGCGCCATACACTTTTAATGACTAGATCTCACAAGAGCTCAGAGCTAGAGCTCACTTATGACCAAGGTGATGGCCCAAATCATTTGTGATCCAAACACCTCCCACCAGGCCCCACCTCTAGTATTGGAAATTTGGGCAAGGACAAATATCCAAACTACATCAGAAAATGAGAATCTTGTTCCAAACTCAGCCCTATCACCCACTAGTTTTGTGACCTTGGGCACGTTGCTCAATTGCTTCAACTTCAGTGTCCTCGATTATAAAATGGAAAAGTGATTATATCTACTTCATAAGAAATTTGTAAGGATTAAATGAGGTAGAACGAGTAAAGCTCTTGGCACAATCACTAGCATAAAACAAGTTCTCAAAAATTATAGCTATTATTATTATCATTCTTTATTATAGGCGTGTAGTTAATGTCATGGATTGTACTTTTATGGATATGAACTTGAAGGAAGTGTTTATCCAGGGACAAATAGTAGTCACTGACATAGAACTGTTCCACTTTGCTTATAGCTGCAAAGTGTCCAATATCCAACATACCCACTCTGCTTACATATGGCTTTAACTTTGCATTCAGAGGGATGTGCTCTATAATGTCCTAGCAAACTACTATTGCTGGCTTCCCCACCAACTTAAGAGTCCCCCGCCAGCTCCATTCCACCCTGATGACACAATCAGTCCCACATTGTCTCGAGGGTCTGTTGGTCCAAACCCTGGTATGAAATGTCAAGTATAATCAAGTCTCTTTGGCTTTCAAGGCTCAGAAATCCTCCCTAACTGGCCCAAATAAAAAGTTAAGTTTGTGATAAAGTCATACAACGATCTTAAGAAACTGAAGTTCAGGCCGGGTGTGGTGGCTCACGCTTGTAATTTCAGCACTTTGGGAGGTCGAGGTGGGCGAATCATGAGGTCAGGAGTTTGAGACCAGCCTGGCCAACACGGTGAAACCCCGTCTCTACTAAAAATACAAAAAGAAATAAAAAAAAATTAGCCGGGCATGGTGGCAGGCGCCTGTAATCCCAGTTACTCAGGAGGCTGAGGCAGGAAAATCACTTGAACCCGGGAGGTGAAGGTTGCAGTGAGCCGAGATCGTGCCACTGTACTCCACCTAGATGACAGTGCAAGACTCCATCTCAAAAAAAAATAAAATAAAATAAAAATAAAAAAATAAAAAAAAATAAGTGAAGTTCAAGTGGACCTTATAGGAACTAGAAAAGTATCAGGTTCCAAGGAGCCTAGTTTCTCAGCTTCTCCATTCCCTTCCCTCAGGGTCCTGATCTTTCTTCTCTTCCTGCTGTCATTAAAGATGGGATTTTCCTGTTGATTGTTTAACTTACACATAGCAACAGGTAGAAGCCAACTCACTGTGTCTACCATATCGTCCTGCTTTCGAGTCCAACGCTAAGGACTGGACCACTCCTCATACTACTGGGAAGAGGATGACATGCCTTATCCCAGGCAGTGGATTCATTGCTCTGATCCAGTCAACTGTGGAGGGCTGGGTGAGTTACAAAGTTACTTCTCACTCCCTATGGCCTTAAACGGGATAAGTAATGTTAGGTAAGGGGAGAAGGTGGTAACGTGTATACTACATTTATGTAGACCTTTCCTTCAAGCCTCAGCTCCAGCCACCTCCTCCAAGAAGGCTTCACTCACCACACACACTGATTCACATGCCCTTTCTCGACACGCCCAGAGCATATTGGTTATACCTCAAGGCTGAATAAGTTCACTAAGGATAGTTTCCCCTTTATCCCTTGGGTCTAGTCCACATTTTCAACATATTATATGTTTAATAAACACTGAATTGAAAGAGTTAATTAGTATAAAATGAATAACAAGCCATTGTGGGATGAAACACAGACAAAGTTCAATAGGTATATGAAAAAATATTCCACATCGCTCATCACCAGGGAAATGCAAACCAAAAACCACAACGAGGTATCACCTCACCCAAGTTAGGACAGCTATTATCAAAAACACAAAAAATAATAAATGCTGGTGAGGGTGCAAAGAAAAGGGAACTCTTATATATTGTTGGTGGGAATGTAAACTAGTTCAGTCCTTATGGAGAACAATATGAAGGTTCCTCAAAAAACTAAATGTAGAACTACCATGTGATTGAGCAACACACTACTGGGTACATATCCAAAGAAAATGAAATCAGTATGTCGAAGAGACATCTGCAATAAACCCCATGTTTATTGCAGCACTATTCGCAATAGCTAAGATGTGGAATCAACCTCACTGTCCATCAACAGGTGAATGAATAAAGAAAATGTGGTATATACACACAGTGGAATACTATTCAGCCGTAAAAAGAGTGAAATCCTGTCATTCCCAGCAACTTAGATGAGCCTGGAGGACGTTATGCTAAGTGAAATAAGTCAAGAACAGAAAGATAAACATTACATGTTATCACTCACGTGTGGAAGATATAAAGTTGATCTCACAGAAAAAAGGAGTAAAAGAGTAGTTACTAGAGTCTGGGAAGGATGGAGGGAGCAGAGGATAGAGAGCTATTGGTTGAAGGATATAAAATTACAGCTGGATAGGAGAAATAAGTTCAAATGCTGTATAGCACTGTAGAATGACAATAGTTAACAATAATATATTTTCAAATAGCTAGAAGAGAGGAGTTTGAATGTTTCTAATACAAAAAGTACTGTGTTTGAGGTCATGGTTATGCTAATTATCCTGATTTAATCAACATACATTGTGTACATCAGAACATCATTATGTACCCCATAAATACATACGATTATTATATTATGTGTCAATTAAAAAATAACTTTAAAAAACTAAAATTGATTAGGTAGATGAGAGATAGACTAGATATTTTTAAGGAAGTTCAAATTAAATTAATTTTTAACTTAATTTAAGGAACTGAACTGCCTTTTATAAACCCTAAATATATGTGCATTATATATATAATATATGAGTGTGTATGTGTGTGTGTGTGTGTGTGTGTGTGTATATATACATACATACATATATATTTCAACTTTAGGAAAGTAAATAAAGTTAGTGATGATAAGAACAAATAATTTCTATGAATTAAGATTGTCCCATTGGGAATGCAAGACTGGTTCAACATTAAAAATTCAGTCAAAGTAATTTACTATAACATGCTTAAAAAGAAAAAAAGGTCACCTCAGTGGGGGTTCCAGAAACATGGCAAACTGGGAATAGAAGTTTGCCTTATAAAGAGTTTACCTATCAGAAGTATACCTGATAAAAAGCTCCCATTTATATCAATAGATTGCATATGCTCAATGAGGAAAAACTGAATAATTTCTCTTAAGATCATGGGTAAGGCAAAAATGTTCTCTTACCACTCCTATTCAACATCATACTGGGAGCATTAGACAGTGTAATAAGCCATATTAAAAACTTCTCAAACAAATGTATAAAATTACTCTGAGAACTATTAAGTGAATTTTAGAAAAGTCACAGAATACAAGGATAATACACAAAAATAAATATTTGTATATGGCAGTGGTGAAGAATTGGAAATCTAAAATTTTTAGTTAAACTTTATGTATAATAACACCAAAACACAACAATACTTAGGTATAAGAATATCTAAAAATGTGTAGAATTTCTGTGCTAAAAACTACAAAACACCATTTAAATAAATCAAAGAAGATCTAAATAAATGGAGATACAAACTGCGTTTGAGGAAGAGTCGGTACTGTTACGATGTCAATCTTCCCAAACTGAACAATTGGTTAAATGCAATCCCAGGCAAAATCCCATCATATGTTCTTGTAAATATCACCAGCAATTATAAAATGTATATAGAAAGTCAAAGGAATTAGAATCGAGAAAATAATTTCTGACAAAGTACTTGTATCCAGAATACATAAATAACTCTCAAAACTCAACAAGAAAACATCAAACAAACAAAATAAATTTTGAGAATGGGCAAAATATTTGTACAGACACTTCACCAAAGAAAACATACAGATGGAAAATGAGCACATAAACAGATGCTCAAAATGATTAGCCATTAGGGAAATGCAAATTAAAACAATGAAATACACATTTCATAAAAAAAAAATCAAAAAAACACTGATGATACCAAATGCTGACAAAGATTTAGAGCAAATGAAATTCTCTTACACTACTGGTGGGAATGCAAAATGGTAGAGCAACGGTAAAAAACAGTTTGGAGGTTTCTTACAAAGCTACACTTACACTTACGATATGAACCACTTATTCCAGTCTTCAATATTTACCCTAGCCAAGTGAAAACTTACTTTCACACAAACACCTGGGCACAAGTGTTTATTGAAACTTTATTTATAACTACCGCTGATTGGAAACAATCCAAATGTCCTTAAATCAAGGAAAAGATTATGAATAGAAAATGAATGTTTTCCATGCATACAATGGAATACTATGCAGCAGTAAAAATGAATGAGCTGTTGATTCATGCAGCGACATGAATAAATCTTAAATGCACTTTGCTCAGTGAAAGAAGCATGACGCCAAAGGCTAAATAGCCTGTGATTTATTATGCATGACATTCTGGTAATGGCAAAACTACTGCGGTGGTTGCCAGGATTTGGTGAGGGGTGAGCCGGTGGATGAAAGGACTGGCCACATAGGGGCATCACAAAGGCAACGTTCAGGTGAGAGATTATTCTGTATGGAAATGTAGTAGTGATCGTTACATGACTACGTGTCTATCAAAACCCTTAGAGTTGAACACCAGAAAGAGTGAATTTTACTCCAGGTAAATAATTTTTTAAAAATTTTCCTATTGGTCCAGAAATAAAAAGGTTATAAAAATTATATAGTAAATAACGTGTATTATGTAAATGTATAATTCAAATAGGGTCAGTGTGTGAGGTCAGTATTGCTGAGAGCATCATAATTGATCAGTGTTTAAATTTTATCAGAAAAAGTAAATACGGCAAATATACAAAGAGACAAATTGATAGGAATAATATGTGACTGCAATTTTCTTCAAAAATAAGCCTGTGAGAATGTATGCAGTGTAGCAAAAACCAAATTAGTCTGGATTGACCCAGTCATTTGGACACATATCACTGGTAGATAGATTTAAATGGAAAATTCCTAATCTTTCACATCAGCTAATTCATAAAATTGTGAGGATAGTCTACTGCACATTTCAGGAACATCTTAGCCAAGAATTTGGTCATTGTTATAGAAATGTGCACTGATTGAGACATTTTTGGCCCTACTGGTAACACAAGGCATCCTTATAAAGAATTTGTGAATGCTTTGAACTGTACCCAGCTGCTTTCTGCAGAACAGAGCGTGCTCCACCTGCTAGTAACCTCAGGAGGTTACTACAGTGTTTTGCTTTATAGATTATCAGTCTGTTGTACTACCATTAGGGTTGACAAGGGTAATATCCCACCGTGATTTCTTTTTCTGACCTCCAGAGATTATAAAATGACATTCAGCAGATTTTAGGTATTTGGAACATGCTGGTACTGTTAACCATTATTTTCTTTTTCAGTTGCAAAGCTAACTGGGTAAAAATTCCAAAGACTCTACCCAGGTTCCTATAAAGCAGTAATATAAAAATGTGCTTCTTTTTTTCCATCTAATGTTCTTCTCCTCTTTAATGGTGAAACTATCCTGTGCACTATTTCTCTATTTATAGCCCAGACAATTCAACTCCAGGCAGTTGGTTCTATTGAAAGATAAACAAACTCCTAAGAAACCCCCACTGGTTTGTAAATGGCCAATTGTGCTGACATGACAGGCTGCAGGTGACTGAGCCCATCTGGGGATGTTGGTCATTTGCTACTGAGCTTGGACCACACAGAGTCTTTGGCCAAAGAGCAGCTGGTGATCTCAGCAATTTTATCTCTTAACAAAAAATCAAAAGCAATGGCCATATACACAGGTTACAAGTATTGGCTGGGTTTTTATCTGATATACCAAACTCCAAAATACCATCTTTACTTCCATTGCCTAATCGGCTCATTGATCTTTGAGGATCATTTAGAGGATTTTATTGAAAAGCCTTGCCTTTGAAAATGTGACTTGGTCCAGTTGGAACAGCTTCAGGCATCTCAGCCTCACATGCCTCCCTCTCTCATTGCTCCTTTCCCTAGTCTTGCCTGACCACTGGGGCAAGATCTTGTACCTTCTTACTTAAATAAAGAGGATAAAGAATGGCAGCTCCTCTCTCAGGAGTGGATTTCTGCATGCCCTTTTTCCATTTTCCATTCTAACCCATGGTTTGCTTGGATCTTCATATCACCCAGTTAATAAACTCACATTGGATCTTCTTGACTGCCGATTAATTAAACACATTACTATACTATCTGGCTACTCCTTTGGTCACAAGTCCATTCTTCCCAATTGTATGTTGACTGCCTCTCATCCAAGGCTTTAAGTATCAAGAATGTCTACTGGCACGCTAACATCTTTCCAAGGTATGGCTCAATCAGGGCACAATTATTGTTCATAAAGGAAATGGAGAAACTGCCCTTGAAAAAGCAAACAAGGAAGAGACAGTTACGATATAGTTGGTGTGTCTGGATATGGTACTGAAACAATACTTTGTGATACTGAGAACATTTTTAGACAGAAAAGGGAGAAGTAATTTATGGTAGCAGATGAAGGTGACAAGGTATTTTAAGGTCAAAACACAGAGGAATTTACATGATGGTGGGAGTCCCTGAAAGTTCATGGCACAAAACCAGCGCCTTCAGATTTCTTTTTATATAAGAGTGTACTTTGGTGGCAGTACGAAGGCTGGGTTTGAGACAGAGATGACTCTGGACAATAAAACCAGCTACTGGGTTGCTATTATAATTCAGGAGAGAGGATATACCAAGAGCAGTGGGAGCAGAAAGAAGTATCTGCAAGATTTTAAGAAGTATTTAAAATAAAATCCTAGGTTCTCAGCACCAAAAAGAGTCTACATAAGAAATAGAAACATGGACTTAGAACAAATTTTAATAACGAAAATCCCAGAACAAAAATCTACTGTCTTTTCACTTTTGCTTAATAATTAAGATTACTTACTGGAGATGACAGAAGACAGTTTAATAACAGTGTACAAACACAGAATGAAAATAAAATGAATACTAATCAATTGTTAAGCTACTATAGCTCATAAGAGGAAGAATTTAGATAGAGTCTAAGATTGAAGATTAGAGGAAACTTTATGAACTTTTAATCATCAGCATTATTAAGCAGTCATGATAGGGGTCATAGCTTCTTATACACCAGGATGTATAAGAACACTTAGACTTTTCTGGATAGTGAAATGAAAAGGAAATGAATTACACATTTTTAAAGACAAATTCTATTATTTTTTCATTTTATTTAAATTTATATTTTTATATAGCATTTCAATTTTTATATGTAATTATATAATAATAATTTTATTGTTCATTTTCCAGAGTGTTAGTTTATTGACTTACAATCCTATGCTCCATATTAAGGCCATGTTGTCCTGATATCTGTCTCTGCTGGTTCAAGGGAGTAGCCAGACACAACTTCTAAAAAATAGACAAACACACAAAAGTAAAACCATAAACTTTTACAGCTGGAGGAGGTTTCATGGGATAAGCTATGGCATTAAGAGTCAGCACGTGATATTCATCATCTTCCTCCACTACTACTCATTCCAATTCACTCCAACCTTCAGCTCTGCTCCTGTTGGTCTAAGCTACCTGTCTGGCAAGATGACCTAGACTTTTATTTCGGAGGAATCTGATCCCCTGGCCATCATGTGCTTCTTGGCTGTGGTTGTTTCAACTGACCACTCACAGATGTCACAAGGCATGAAAGCATCCGGAGGTGTTCCAGTAACTCTCATGGATTCTGGACTTTCTTCTGTCTGCCCCTATACTATAGGAGTGACCCTCTATCTTCGTGATAATCAGCATAAATTCCTCCTGTCAATATAGTAATTCTTTTTTTTGTCCCTCTACTACTGGCATGAGGACCCAAATGGCCCTGTGGTAATTGACTTAGGTTTAGTGGAATCCTTTTTGTGTCCCCTGAAGGAAGAATACCACTCCCATCAGGAACTAGGATCTCTAATCCAGAAACACCTAGAGTTGCATGAATGGCAAGCACAGTCTCCAAATGACTTGATTAGAATTAATAGAGAGAGGATCAACTTCTGTTTCCTTCCTTGGTTCCCAGATGCAGGTTTTTAACTGTCAGTGACACAGCACCATATAACAGCATCTTGTGTGATAGCACTCCATCTCACAGGGTATCCTCTCCATACTGTGGCTTAGCTTTGCCCTTAAGAAGATTCCTTTGTTGCTCTATTAGGGTGTCAGCTTCCGGTGAGCCATTTATGGGAAGACCAATGGAACCCACAGTCATATGTCCACTGCCCTACCTCCTTTGGTGTATAGTGGATGCCTTGAGCTGTCTGACAGTGTAGCTCAGTCACTGCAGTCAAGGGAGACAAAGCCATGCTTAAGATATGGATCATTCTCAATAAGGATGAATCATAGACAGGTAGATGGTGTCTAATGTTAGCAGCTTGTCACCAAGTGCCCAGATGGTCTCCTTGAGGGATTGTAGGGGCAGGACTTTCAGCAGCAATGGCAGCTAGAATAAGCTCGGTGAGATGCAGTTGATGGCAATTAGGCTATCCATGCTTCCATCCCTGCCAGCATGACTCCTCTGTTTATGGACAAACAAAAGGGCCATGAGAGCAGAGGCACCTAAATGAGACATCTTGTTCACCTGGTTTCCAGCCTCTTCTTGGGAATAGGCGTTCTTTGGTGGCCACTGACATGCAATACAGTGTTCTGCACACTTTGTGTTCATGTCATAGGTCCATCCACATACCTCTCCTCAGCTCTCCTCTCCAAGCCACTCACCACTCCCTGGAGTCCATGTGTATTCCTACCTCGGACAACTTCTCCCTCCAAACAAAACACATGATCATACGTACTACTCAAAGCACTGCTACTGAGAAGATTTCTCCTAATCACCATATTTCAAGGGCACCCCTGATAGGTCATTAGTGCAATAGCAGCTATTTATACCCTTGCATTGACAAACAAGCTCACCTGCCTATCAGCTGGCAATGGTGTAAAGTGAGGTAAGGCATTAATGTGACGTCAGACGTGGAATCTGAGCCACTTGTTTCTGTAACTTATGTGTACTCTCAGGACCTGCTTGGAACCAATTCTGGATGAGTCATTTCCACTGCATAGTGGATCACTATTGTGCCTACTTCACCTTATGACTTAGGGTTATGCCAATACCAGCTCATGATGAATAACTCAGGTGCCATCATCGATTCATGTTGCCTGGTTGAGTCTTCATTATCTCTTTGGGGACTGTAGCATGTTAGTAGTTGCCTATTAAATTACATGGCCGGGGCAGGCCCGGTGGCTCACACCTGTAATCCCAGCACTTTGGGAGGCCAAGGCAGGCAGATCACGAGGTCAGGAGTTCAAGACCAGCCTGGCCAACATAGTGAAACCCCCTCTCTACTAAAAATATAAAAATAAGCCAGGTGTGGTGGCGGGCACCTGTAGTCCCAGCTACTCAGGAGGCTGAAGCAGGCAAATCACTTGAACCCGGGAGGCAGCGGAGGTTGCAGTGAGTCGAGATTGTGCCATTGCACTCCAAACTGGGTGACAGAGCAAGACTCCATCTCAAAAAAAAATGTATATGACCCAGCTTCAGAATCCTGTAGTTCTCTACCACCACTCCCCTACCTAGATTTTTATCTACTGTGTTGGTCAAAATTGTCGAGAACAAATAGTGTGGATGGACAGATGGAAGGATGGGTGGGTAGATGAACAGACAGATAAAAGATAGATAAGAGGAGAAATAGATTTTAAGGAACTGATACACACAGGCAATGGTGGGCCTGGCAAGTCAAAATGTGTTGGTCAGCCCCAAAATTCAAGTAGAATTTCTATGTTGCAGTATTGAGGCAGAATTTCCTCTTCCTCAGGAAGCCCAGTTTTTGTTCTTAAGGTGTTCAGTTGATTGGATGAGGCCTTCTCAAATCATGGGAAGTAATATGTTTTACTTCAAGTCAACTAATTGTAAATGTGGAAATTTAATACAGAAAATACATTCACAGCAACATTTAGACTAGTGTTTGACCAAACAACTGGGCACCATACCCTAGCCAAACTGACATAAAATTAATCATGAGATCCACTATTTATAGCTATAAAACCTTCGCATTTATCAGGCTACATAATCTATGCAGAAGAACTCTTACATCTTCTATCAAAGTTCTCCCTAGGATAGTCTGCTAAGTAGCCTTAAGGAAGGACTGGGGAAGTTAAGTTGTACTCTATATGCTTTCTGTCACATATCAGGGCTCTTCCTTTGGGGCCTCAGATTCTCTTTCAACAGAAGGGCTCTGGGTTTGAGAATTTGCTCAGGTCTAGAATCAGAGGAAGAGCTCATGATTGTCAAACTGTAACAGTTGATATCTGCCTTCTGCTTCCTTGTCCTTGATATCTTGTTTCTGTTATGAAATCAAGTCATGCCTTTGCTGCTGGTCCACCAGTCTCACACCTTGGAACACTGTGGTCAGTTAGCCATCACCACAGAGCTTTGTGAGTCAAGACCCCAGGAGCCATTCTGGCTTTGCTGCATGTGACAGTGAATATGTCCATCTAGCTTCAGGTGGCGAAAGGCTGTCACTTGGCCTTGAATATTTTAGAATCTTCTCATCCAAATGACATCTATGGATGCCCAGTTTCAAAGGACATCTAGGGATCTCCCAGTATCAAACCTGACCCACAAAGGACAGTCACCCCCGAGCTCTCTCCATATATAAAATAAGATTGAAGACGAAAAGAAGTATGTCACTGGTTAATATTTCTGTGACAAAGGTACGATTTAAACACCTGGCTGAGTGTGGAGAAAATGATTCATTGGCTATTATAAAGTGAGTTGGGAGTGCTTCTACTCTATGTCTGGAGAGGTTCCTAAGATATTCCTCTCCCCTGAAACCAAGAAGAAGTTACTGCTTACTGTCTCTCCTCATTTGCTAGCTGAAGGATCACATTTTCTTTCCCAAGTAGCATCTAACTGGTAGCATATACAGTGATAAAAATTGGTTAGGTATGGAGTGTGAAGGCAATTTTAATACTGAATTTATTTAGTTCGGAACATTTCTTTTTGTACATGTAAGTGTAACTTAAACAAATCAATTCCGACTGATTAAACTCACTTTACATGGATAATGTACCGTGGACACTCTTTCTACTCGGGTGCTTTCCCCAAAGATCACAGGAAGAGCATTTAGATGTTCCTTTTGCATGTCACCCTGAAACACACAAAATCCAACAGATTCAAAAGGAAACATTGCATTAAATTAATTCAGCTTCAAGTTCAAAGGCTCATCATGTATGATAAACAAAACCAAAGGAAATGATAAGATGCAGTGTCACATTTCATTTAATATCTAAATCCACTCACAACAAGGTAATATTTAATTCACCAGAGCCTTGCTATCTGCTCATATGGCATAGCCTCTTAGGGAAAGAAAAAAACTCAAAGAACCTGGAGCTGGCAAATATAATGTGAAGTTATGAATGATTTAGAGCAGCGGTTCTCAACCTTGGCTGAACTTTATAATCACCTGCGGAGCTAGTAAAATCCCCAGTTCTCTGGCCTCACCTGAGACTAATTAATTCAGAATTTCAGGGGTGAAGACCCAGGCATCAATATTTCTTTAAAGCTCCCCAGGTAATTCTCCTGCACGAGCAAGGCTGAGATCCTCTGATTTAGAGAGTGGTTCTCACAGGGTTGGTAGCCTTCAATGCAGCTGGAGGGCTTGTTTAAGCTCAGATTACTGGATCCCATCCCTAGAATTGTGGCATGAGTAGGTCTGTAAATTGTATTTTAAACAAATTCTCAGGTGATGTTCTTGCTGCTGGTCCAGGGACCACACTTTGAGAACAATTATTTTAGAAGAATCCAGTAAACCTCAGAGAGGAAGTAAATCCTGAGGGACTGCCATTGATGTGGTCATATAAGAAAGATAAAACATGCTCCTCAGCAATTCTATGGGAAAACAAAACAAAGCTAATCATCTATATGTGAGTTATCTAGAAAGATAAGCTGGTCTAAATAAATAAATGTTCCAGTTATGGAAAACTGAAGTCCTGTAGAAGGAAAAATTCAACAAGCATGAGAATTTAAATATGAGTGTATGCCTGAAAAGGAGAGAAGAACATGATTCTGATTTATAATATTTTAACCGAATAAGAAAAGGAGGAAAATCTAAGTTTTAATTAAGTAGGCACTCTCAGGAACAATTTTATAAGTGGCTTCTATTATGAGCATTAGTGGAACAAAACAAACCAGCAAATATGCCTCTAATAATAATGATGATGATGATAAATTTAAATTGGTCTTGGAATATATTGCACAAGCTACATTTGACTTCTTGTGTTTTCATGTTCTGTAAATGTAAACTGTTCTGTAAATCTGAAATATTGCATAACATATAACTAAGCCTCAAACAGAAGAGGAACTGTTTTATGTATTGTTCTGCTCTATGTGAATTTGTCCGTTTTCACGCTGTGGATAAAGACATACCAGAGACTGGGTAATTTATAAAGAAAAACAGGTTTAATGGACTCACAGTTCCACATGGCTGGGGATGCCTCACAATCATGGGGAAAGGCGAAAGGTATGTCTTACGTGGTGGCAGACGAGAGAACGGAGAACCAAGTGAAAGGGGTTTCCCCTTATAAAACCATCAAATCTCGTGAAACTTGTTCACCACCACAAGAATAGTATGGGGGAAACTGCGCCCATGATTCAATGATCTCCTACTTGTTCCTTCCCACCACACGTGGGGATTATGGGAGCTACAATTCAAGATGAGATTTGGGTGGAGACACAGCCAAACCATAGCACTATGCTAATACCAAGAATGAATAGCATTATCAGTATGGCGCCTGCCACAAAGTAAACCCAGGGAAGAGAGCCATTAAGCACATGCTGATGGATGGATAGACAGCTGTGTATGGGAATAGATGTTTTCATCTTGAACTTTGAGGTTGGTTGGTTGGTTGATTGGTTGGTTGGTTGGTTAGTTGGTTTTCTGGCACATATTATGTACGAATGTGATGTGATTTAGTCCAGGGAACTCTAAACTGGTTCTCAAAAGAAGACTTCCTGGACTTGCCTTCTCTGTCACCCAGTCCACAATGTCATTGATGTTCATCAGGAAAGCCAGAATCTCAGGGAGGACAACCTGACAGAGTCTACCTATAGGGAAGTGACAATGAGACAAGACAGGCACAGAACTCTTTGCTGTGAGAGAATCCACGCTGTTGGGAGACAGTTCTCCATGGGTCTCTGTACTTCTGCACATCTTATAAACAGAGACACTGGCAACTTCTGCTTCAGACTATCTTTTCAGGGATGTTTGTGTAGTGAAGACAGATTGTTTCCAGGAGAAGGCAGATTTGTTTGCCCACTAATATGATAAAGATAATGGCTCCCTCTGGGGCAAAGATGGGAGAGGCTTGATGGTGGCCCTTTTAAAAGATTGGGGTTTCCTAGGTTTGGGGTTCCTCAATTCTGACACAAACCCAGTGTATGAGCAGAAGCTGCCTGGTCCTACAGTCAAAATGATGTCCAAAGGAAGAGGAACTGGTGTTAGCACGGAGCTCTGCTGGCTACGGTATTGTGAGTGATAAAATCCTTTCTCTTTGATGCAGGAGGTTGGAGTCTTCTGCTGACATCAAGGAAGCTGTGTCAGGCTAACTTGTTGGCTTAAAGTAAGTTAAATTTCAGACCTTTCACTGTGTTAACAAATATCAAAGCAACATCTGTGCATGCGTGGTTAATGTGACTATGTCGTAACAGAAGAAAAGTAGGGAAAAAAAACAAACTATGAATAGGGGCCATGTTGTTAAAGAAATTATGCTACAGCCCAACAATGGAACACTATATTGCCTTAAAGAAGAATGTCATAGACATGTTGATACCAACATGGAAATAAATTCAAGATATTTTGTTATGTTAGCAAATATATTATATATTACATTGAAATTATTATAAAGAAATTAAACTGAAAGTATTTACCCTAAACTACTGCCAATGCTTCTTGGAATTTTAGGAAAAATTTAGTTTTGTTTTTTGTATTTTGCAATTATTGCATTGTTTACTACACAACTTCTTTTCCATTTCAAAAATAATGAAGACAACTCTTAAAAGTGCATTTTAAAATGACTTAAATAAAGGTTAATGACAAACTGAGAACATAGTTTCCAGAAGCAAAGACTCCATTTCCCCTTCACAAAAAATCGCTGTCATGTGACCGTGTTCCTGTCAATGAAGTATTAGCAGATGTGTCCCGTGTGCCTTCCACTGAGTATATTTGGAGGGACAAAGCCTGTCTTTTTTGCCCCTTCCTTTTCCCAGGAATGCAGACTGGATGGCTGGAACATGGGCAACTAACGGGGCCATGAAGCAAAAGCCACATGTTGAGGATGGCAGAGGTAAAAAAAAAAAATCAAGAGACTTTGGAATCCCAACAGCACACAGTGCCATGCCTGCATAGCTTTTCCTGAATCCAGACTTCCAGAACAAGAGAGAAAAATGAACTTCAATTGCTTTTAGCTACTGTTATTTTAAACTGTGGGCTACTCTAAGCTGAGCCATACTGTAAAGGTTACAATGGCAAAGGATCAGGCCTCTATTTCAAACATTGGTTCCTAGGATGTTGGCAGAATAAACATAAATGCAGTAAGAATATCATAACTAGCATACGACTTCGGAAGGAGAAGAGAAATACTCCGTCATAATTTCTGAAGTCCTAGCAGGACTCTGAGGCTTCTATCACTGTTTACAGAAATCTAATATCCTGCTGATATCATGACAGAAGAAGTTGAAAAGGCCTCTTTTGAAGCTGTCTTCCAGAATGTAGGAAGTGAATCACACTTCTCCATTCATTAAACAGGTTGCATTAACTTCCTAGAAGACCAGAAAATTAATACAGAATAGAGGAGCCTACCTCCCAGTGAAAGGACATTTAATTAGTAGATCTATGAGAGTTACTTTCCTAGCTAGAGTTTTTCAATTTGGAACTTTTCTGAGCAGCTATTACACAATCTTAACAAGAATGTACAGAAAATCAATAAACTGAAAAGTTCAATGTAGTATAATATGACTAAACTTGGAAATATTGTGCAATGCGGCATTATACTGAGCTAATCCTAGCAGATTCTTTTCTTGTTACTACAATCCCTCCTAATGCATTATAGTCCTCAGGTAATGTACTTTTACTTTAAGGCAAAGTCATTTCTGTGCAGCAGGGAGTGATCCCTTGAGGAAATTTGATCTCAAGTCTTTTTTTTTTTTATTTAAGGCAAAATGAATGTCAGGTAAAATGTCTAGATAACCCCTTGAAAACTCAGAACTCATGCACACTGAATAATTGCTATGTGAAGTAAAGAATGAGTAAATGCATGAAATAGCAAATACAGCAGGATTGTTTTCAGATCAGTAAACTGTGCATAGGTTATGCAATGCTAGGACTAAGACCATTCTGGAGCGCAGGAGTGTATGATTTTTCCCATGGATTTGTGAAGGAGAGATCAGCTTTTAAGATTTCTTTTAGTGGGGAGGGGAGTTCTTTTTATTCTTTGAATTTGGGAGTTGGATCTCAAGATCATCCTGTAATAGTCAATGGGTCCTAAATCCAATGGCATGTGTCCTTTTAAAAGACTCACAAAGTAGGCCAACCAAAGAGAAAGAAGCAGTGTAACTATGGAGGCAGAGATTGGAGTGATGTAGCCACAAGCTGAGGAATGCCAGCCACCACCATTAGCTGGAAGAGGCAAGGAATGAAAGACAATTTCCCCTAGAACCTCTGGAGAGAGTGTGCCCCTGCTGACCCCTGCAGTTTGGACTTCTGGCCTCCAGAACTCTGAGAGAATACATTTCTCTTGCATTCAGCAACAGGTTTGTCATCATCTGTTCTGGAAGTCACAGAAATCTAATCCACCCATGACACCCATGAAGTAGATACCATCTTTATTCACATTTTACAGACAAGGAAACAAAAGGAGAGATCAGCTCTTAAGATTTTTTTTGAGGGGGATGGAGTTCATTTTATTCTTTGAATTTTGGAGTTGTTGAATTTAACCTGCCTCTAAAACTGGCATGCTTGTCAATTTCATCCATGTGTGACTTTATGAATAACTGGAAATTCAAATGCTCTCAGTTGTGGATGATTTCTTTCTTCTTTCTCATCTATCAATAACAACCCCCCAAAATGTTAAGAAAATCTTGAAGTATTCTATTCAAAATGTTCATCTGTTTGTAAATTAGTGTAGCCATGCCATTGGCTAGATCTCAAGATCGTCCAGGCCCACTCAGTGTGATGCCCCTTGATACAGAATGGACAAAGAAGCCAGGGTTTCACAGGCCCACCTATTAGGATAAGTCAGGAACTAAATTAGCTGGTCCAGCTTTTGGAACTGACAGCGGAGAGGTCAGAAGGGAAAAATACATCATGTGTGGGGTAGAGTTGACTCAGATCATGACTACCACTGGTGTCTCCCTCATAAGGCAGACAAGCAGAAACATCTGGAGGTTTGGTTCTGGCCAAAGAAAAAGAACAGTCAGAATGTGGAATGCAAAGTATACAATTATTTCAAATCATAGCTGGAGGTATCCAGAAGTATGGTCCAAGTGACTATAGGTCGGGAGTAGTTGTCCAGAACCTGGAAAAGAGACTGAAAAGGTGAGACAGCCAAGAAGACAGGCATTCTCAGGCAGGCCATCAGAGAGAGGCTCTGGAACAGGGACAGGAGAGATGCTCCCTCAAACTCAACTGGTACAACTTGAAGAATCCTGCTCCAGAAACCCCAACATCGAAACGGAAGTTACCTTTGGTTGGGAAACAATGAAAGACCCCAGTGGAAACTGAATCCTGAGACTTGGGACTCAATATGGCAACTTAAAGAAAATGAGAAGACTTCAAAAAGTAAGTTGAAAAAAAAACCAAGGGAAAAAAGTAGAAGGGAGAAGGAAAAGAAAAGGAGGGAGAGTGGGAGAATTAAAGGAGAAATATTTAATAATCCTTTATTACAGGCAAGAAATTGTTCCAGCTATTCTACTTGTATTCACTCATTGAATCTTTACAACCCCATTTTAGTGAGTTGAATGGTGCCCCAAAGAGATATATAATGTTCTAATTCCCAGAACCCATTCATTTTACACTATTTGAAAAAAAAATCTTTACATATATAATTAAGGATCTTGAGATCATCCTGAAATAGTCAATGGGCCCTAAAGCCAATGGTAAGTGTCCTTTTAAGGGACTCACACAGGAGGCCAACAGAAGAGAAAGAAGCAGTCTAACTATGGAGGCAGAGATTGGAGTGATGCAGCCACAAGCTGAGGAATGCCAGCCACCACCATTAGCTGGAGGAGGCAAGGAATGAAAGATGATTTCCCCTAGAGCCTCTGGAGGGAGTGTGCCCCTGCTGACTCCGGCAGTTTGGACTTCTGGCCTCCAGAACTCTGAGACAATAATACATTTCTCTTGCATTCAGCAACAGGTTTCTATCATTTGTTCTGGCAGACACAGAAATCTAATCCACCCATAAGGTAGATACCATCCTTATTCACATTTTACACACAAGGAAACAAAACCTCAGGTGGAGAGAGATGCCCAAGGTTATCCAGCTAAAAAGTGGCAGGATGAGAACTGGAAGGAATTCATGCAGTCTGGGTCCAGAACCCACACCCTCAACCCCTATACTAACTAGATCATTGATTCACAAAACAGGAGAATTACTCAATGTATCATCTCATGCTGTAAGGAAGCTGGAGCTGCCTCCCTGCTTTCATCATGGCCAGAAAACAACACAGGCTGGAACTTGCAAGCTGTTAGTGACTTTAGCCAAGAAACTGGGAAAATAAAAAATGAAGAAATGATGCAGGCAGGAACACTACTGCTCCAACAATGAAACATCTCTTAGGAGCTCTCTTATTATCCTATCTGCCTAACATAATCAAAGAAGATTTAGATTAATAAGCATGATGATTGGGTTGTAATCCACAGCCAGATAATGATAAAACTATGAATCCAATATAACGTTTTAAAAAATACCAAAAATAGTATGATTATATAGATGTATCATCTCCTTTGTCAGAAATACAGTTTATCTCAACATTACTGAATAGACTCAGGAAAGGATAAAAAATATGTACGTCACTTCTGTATCCAAAATAGAAGTAAAGATTAGAAATAAGATGTTATACCAGAACTGAAACAGATGGACTGGGAATTATGGGGCATGAACAGCACAGGTATGGAGCTCTGTGTGAAGATTCAGGAGCCCTGCAAGGAAGTGCAGAGGGAAGTCGTGAACCTCATGTGTAACTCAGCTCTCCTTAGAAGCCATCTGCTCCCTCGAGACATTTTTTTTCTCTTATTCCTTCTTCATCATGTCCTGGGCCACATAATATACCTCCTTATCTTTTGATATTCATGTTCATGAGTTGGGGAGTGGCCAATGGTTACTGGTAGCTATTTAACAACCTAGCTCCCCACAACCAGAAATCCCAACATGTAGTGTTTGCCAATGCCTATGGTGTAAATACTCCCACCATGGTAAATTCACGCTACCCAAATGCCATAGCTGAACCATCACCCACCATTATATACTGTTGCCACCATACGGATACACTAGGCATGAATAACCTCAGAACATGTATAATGGTAAAACGTACTAAAATAATCAGAAAGTGATATTCTGAGGATTTGTTACTTCTGTTATTTAATACGACTTATTTTATTATGCTTATATAATTTTTGATTTTTGTGGGTACATAGTAGGTGCATATATTTATGGGGCACATGAGATGTTTTGGTACAGACGTGCAATGCGTAATAATCACATCATAGAGAACGGGGTCTCCATCCCCTCAAGCATTTATCCTCAGTGTCACAAACAACTAAGGGTTTTGGTTATAACACTAAGGTGCTCGAGTATAATCAATTATACCCTTTAGCTGTTTTAAAACGTACAATTATTATTGACTATAGTCACCCTGTTTTGCTATGAAATAACAGGTCTTATTCATTATTTATAACTTTTTTTTGTACCCATTAACCATCCCTACCTCCCCGCCACCCCACTCCTACCCTTCCCAGACTCTGGTAACCATTTTTTTTACTCTTTATATCCGTGAGTTCAATTGTTTTGGGAGCTTTTGTTTGTTGTTTTTGAGACACAGTCTCACTCTGTCACCCAGGCTGGAGTGCAGTGGAGTGATCTCAGATCACTGCAACCTCTGCCTCCCGGATTCAAACAGTTCTCTTGCCTCAGCCTCTCGAGTAGCTGGGATTACAGGCACACAGCATCACGCCCGGCTAATTTTTGTATTTTTAGTAGAGATGGGGTTTCACTACATCAGCTCTGCTGGTCTCGAACTCCTGACCTCAAGTGATCTGCCTGCCTTGGCCTCCCAAAGTGCTAGGATTACAGGCATGAGCCACCACGTCTGGCCCTGATTTTATTTTTAGATCCCACAAATAAGCGACATGTAAAGTGATAGGTAATGTTCTCACTTATTTGTGGAATGTTTGTCTTTCTGTGTCTGGGTTATTTCACTTAACCTATGATCTCCAGTTTCCCTCATGTTGTTGTGAATGACAGGATCTCACTCTTTTTAGTGGCTGAACAGTACTCCATCATGTATATGTACCACATTTTCTTTATCCGTTCATCTATTGATGGACACTTAGGTTGCTTCCAAATCTTGGCTATTGTGAACAGTGCTGCAACACTGCAGATATCTCAATATACTGATTGCCTTTCTTTAGGGTACACACCCAGCAGTGGGATTGCTGGGTCATATAGTAGCTCTGTTTTTAGTGTTTTAGGGGACCTCCAAACTGTTCTCCATAGTGGTTGCACTAATTTACATTCCTACCAAAACCGTACAAGGATTCCCCTTTCTCCACATCCTCACCAGCATTGGTTATTGTCTGTCTTTTGGATATAAACTACTTTAACTGGGGTGAGATGATGTCTTTTTTTTTTTTTTTTTTTTTTTTTTTTTGAGATGGAGTCTCAGTCTCCCAGGCTGGAGTGCAATGGCACAATCTCAGCTCACTGCAACCTCTGCATCCTGGGATCAAGCAATTGTCCTGCCTAAGCCTCCCAAGTAACTGGGATTACAGGCACCCACCATCATGCCCAGCTAATTTTTGTATTTTTGTAGAGATGGGGCTTCACCATGTTGTCCAGGCTGGCTTTGAACTCCTGACCTCATGTGATCCACCCACCTCCTCAGACTCCTAAAGTGCTGGGATTACAGGTGTGAGCCACTGTGCGCAGCCTGAGACCATATCTCATTGCAGTTTTAATAATAGCTGTGTTTAACAACAGACTTACAAAATTCCTGAGAATATTCATGGGCAAGCAGGCGCTCCCTGCAGCACACAACTGGGAGGTGGATGCAGGCTCCTCCTCACCTCCATCTTTGAAGTCCTGTTTTTCTTCGATCACTTGGGATTTTGAAGTCTTTCATCATGCCATGCCAACCGTCCCTTGGTGGCTCCACTCAGTGCTTATTCTGAACACTAAATTCTTTATTCTCTGACATATAACTGGCACAATGCTATGTCATAGGCATTTACAGGTGGGAGGATGCAGTGTTTTATATTAAATACCTTCCAGAACTCAAAATTGAATATTGTTATGTGGCCACCCTGACCCTGGGAGTTCTCTCTGACCACCTATCTCCATGGAGCTTCTCTTTGACTCACTGACCACTCCCTCTTTTTTCTTCTTGTTTGTTCCTGACTAAAAAAATCCTATTTATTCATTATACAAGAAATAGCAGTCAGCACTTGCCCCCAATCTCCTTCCAAAACATGTCCACATACCTTGAACTTTCACATCTAAAGAAGTTCATTGAGGTCTTTGTTTTATTTGTTTGAAAACAAATAATGTTCAGCCTAAGAGGAATCTGGAGCTATTTGGTACATTAATATTAATATTGCCAATGCTTACTATGGCAGCAAGTAAAGATAATGCCATACATTGGTTTCATAGAATTGCTGCCTCAGCATCCACTATTTTTTTTTTTTTTTTTTTTTGAGATGGAGTCTTGCTCTGTTGCCCAGGCTGGATTGCAGTGGTGTGATCTCGGCTCACTGCAACCTCCACCCCCCAGGTTCAAGTGATTCTCCTGCCTCAGCCTCCCAAGTAGCTGGGATTATAGGTGCCCGCCACCACGCCCTGCTAATTTTTGTATTTTTTAGTAGAGACAGGGTTTCACCATGTTGGCCAGGCTGGTCTTGACCTCCTGACCTCAGGTGATCCGCCCTCCCCCACCTCCCAAAGTGTTGGGATTACAGGCGTGAGCCACCGCTCCTGGCCGGCATCCACTTTTAGGCCTGATATAAGTTGTCTGAAACCCAGTGGTGTCCCATCACCTTCGGCCTGGTTAAGACTGTCCCGCCATGTGTCATGTTTGCTATACAGCCCACGTGTTCCTCATCTCACTGATGCAAACCCCAACACACCCCACAGCTGCTGGCCATGATTGAACCTAATGATCAACACCAGAGTCCTGTCAATAACGTCCCCCTTTGCACGTGTTTCCTCTAAACCAATCAATGCACAACCTCCCCTGAGGGAGCATGCCTGAGGGCCCTAGTAAAGCCCCAGTTCCAGAAGCTCTCCCTCTTTGGCTTCGACTCCCTGCTTGAGATACCTGCTGCCTCCAGACCTCCCGTCGACAGCACCCTGGCCTCCCTGGAATCTGTAAGTAAGACATTTTTTCTGTTTTATGCATTTTGGCTTCACTTCCTCGTTGTGTCTCGCCTGACACACAAAAACTACCCAGGCCTCTTCTAGAGAGTGCCTATCTTGGCTTACAGTCCTTCTTGAGAGAAATCAAGACCCAAATTGGAAAGGAACTGTAACAGCAGAAATAACGGCAGATAAGGAGCATGTTATTATCAGAGACCATGACAACATAGTCCATTTTCTTAAAATTGAATAGTGGTTATAGAATCAAATTTATGTGAATTACATATTTTCAAAAACATGGATAATTAAACCCGGCACTTTTGGATTCCTAAATATATTGCCCACCTTACATGTAAACAAACATGTTTTGTATCTTCAGTTATTTAATGCGAGTTTTTAACAAATCCAATTATTATGAGGTAGATCCAATAATTTTTCTTTCTAATTGTAAACCTAAAATTAGAGTTTGCAGATTCTCTTGAGACAGTCTTCAATTAAATATCATACTAATGCATTTTATGTAATTCATTCAATATACATATTATTAAAATAATATATTCCAGTCAGTGAGCTCAGCATGGGTCTACACAGATGAAAGATGTGCTTTCTCCCTTAGATAAGCCTATATTCCATTGAGGGAAGGAAAAATAAAAGAGGCAAAAGTCAGCAATCCCAGTTGAAAGAATCAGGGGAAATTTCTTCGGAAGAGATGGTGGAAGAACAATTGAGGGAGCTTGGGTATGGCCAGGCATGTAAGGAGTAAAAAAGGACCTTGTATGTTCTGTTGTGAGATTATCACAATTTGACCTATTTTTTTTTTCTTATTCTTTTTGAGATTGAGTTTCACTCTTGTTGCTCAGGCTGGAGTGCAATGGTGCCATCTTGGCTCACCGCAACCTCCGCCCCCCAGGTTCAAGTGATTCTCCTCTCTCAGTCTCTGGAGTAGCTGGGATTACACGCGCCCACCACCACACCTGGCTAATTTTGTATTTTTAGAAGAGACTGGGTTTCTCCATGTTGGTCAGGCTGGTCTCGAGCTCCCAACCCCAGGTGATCCACCCGCCTCAGCTTCCCAAAGTGCTGGGATTACAGGCATGAGTCACCATGCCTAGCCTACAATTTGACGTATTTTAAGAGGAGCGTTACTTTTCTACATGTGTCCCTTAGAATGGAATGAATCTGAGGTAAGCAATAGAGCCAAGAGGACCAGTTAGGATAACATATAATAATCCAAGTGAAAATTCTGAGGCTCTGACTTAGTAACAGGAGGAATGGAAAGAAGAGGGGCATGTGGCAGCCACAGAGGTGCACTCGGGTTTGCCTTCAAGAAAGGACTTGTTAAATCCCAAGGAGTACAGTTCCCCAACCTCCTCTAGTGGTAATGTTCTGGGCATCTGCCATTGCACTGGAATTGAGTTTCCACTCACCCCATGTAGCCCTAAGCCAATGGCTGCACATGGCCACAACACTAGGATTTAGCCGTTCTTGTCCAACTTTGTTCTCGTCTAATGGCCAGTCCTGAGGCTTAAGTTTCTTACTGAGTTGACCTAGACTTTTGTAGGTGCCAGGTTGTCTGAAACTTCATGCCTGATCCTGTTTCCTCTTCCCTTTCTCCTCTCCGATGTCAGATCTACAACAGAGTCTGAACATTCTTCCTGCCCAGTTCTGCTGCTTCTCTCCTCTATCTTTCACAAGCATTGCCCCTGAATAAACTGCTTGCACTCATGTCTCCATCTCAATCTCTACTTCCTGGGAAATGCACTTGCCACAGGATATTTGAGAATAATTACAAGACAAAATTCACAGGAATGTTTGACTGGGCATAAAATAAGGATGATTCAAAGACAACACTGGCTTTCTGCTTGAATGTTACTTCGGCTCACCAAAACAGGGTCACAGGAAAGAGAATGAGTCTGGACCTGGGAGGTTTGGGATGTGGTGAAACTGATTCCTGTGGGGTGTGCAATAGACTGGCCCTGTAAGCAATTATAAACATAGGCTGAGGGCTCAGAAGAGAGCTCCCAGGTCTCTCTATATGTGTTAAGGAGGAATATCTTGTAGTTACAAGCATTTAGCTCACTAGCCCTGATTAATAGTGGTACAACTGTAAACTGCAACTGTTACACAATTCTACCATTAACATGAATATTTGTGGTTACTACTTGTAATTATATTGTGTTATACACAATACATCCATGTCTTCTCCAATTGAATAATAAGTAGTTAGCACGTAGACCCTACACCCAAAACAGAACTCTTCTGTTCACTGGTTATATAAACTGGGGTAACATTGTTTTTAACATTGGTACAAACCGGGGTTAGAACACTTTTGTGCCTCAGTTTATTTTTCAGTTGTAAAATGGGATCAAAATAGTACTGACCTCACAGAGTTGCTGTGAAGATGAAATGCAATAACAAGCCTTTAGAGGAGTGCCTGAAATGGAAATGTCTCTGCAAACCATTACATGCTGCTGTATCTCCTGTAGTGCCTAGCAGGGTGATTTTTGAGAGAGAGTGGGAGAAATAGAGAAGGAGAGAGAGAGAGGGAGACATGGAGAGAGAGAGGGAAAGAGAGCGGGGCAAGGACATGGAGAGAGAGGGAGAGAAAGAGAGAAAGGCAAGAAAAAGACAGAAAGGCTAAATGTAATATGTTTCCAGACAATAAACCAGACACAAGTAAAAGGAAGAATAAGAGTTATTACCCTAAAGAACAGTATTTGTAAAGGTCAGTGCTACCTGGTTTAACTCCAAGCTGTTCTCTGCCACATCTCTCCCCCAGTTTCCTAGAATTCACAGCAAGGAAGGAGCAAGGGGGTAAATCCTCACAATCTCTGCCTAAGAACATTATTGTCAGGATCACTTTGCTTGTTCCTGTACCCCTGGGAAATTTTACAGTCATCTACTCCAGCACCCTCCATTTGTGTGATACTGTGAAATACGTATTTGGTCCTTAGCCCTGTTTCCTGGCATACACCTCCAAAAATCGTTGGAATATCCACGGTGATGTCTTTTGCACACTAATGAGATGACTGGTGGTTTGGTTCCCTAGGTGGCTTCAGGATGGGTGCTGGCCACTGAGAAAACCAAGGCAGCGTTAGAGGTTTGGGAATTCCAGCCCCACTCCACAACCTCTGGGGAGGCAAGAAGGGCTGAAGGTGATGACAGTTATTACCAATGACCAATGGTTTAATCAGACATGCCTACAGAATGAAGTCTCCATGAAAACTCAAAAGGACAGGGTTCAGGGAGACTCTGGATAGCTGAACATGTGGAGGTTGCAGAAGGTGGCACACAAGGAGAGCATGGGAGCTCCACACCCCTTCCAAAATCTCACCCTATGCATCTCTTCTGTATCCTTCATAATAGATCAGTATGTTTGTTTTCCTGAGTTCTGAGAGCCACTCTGGCAAATTCATCAAACCCTAGGAGGGGGTCGTGGGATCCCCAATTTAGCCATTAGGTGAGCCCAAGCAAGGTGGCATCCATGCCAAAGTTGGGGAGCTGTAGTGTCATAGAGCAGAGTGTTGGAACCTGACCAGGTTCAGAAGGATGGGGAAGACTACCAGTTTGGGCTTTCAGAGCCCCAGAGTATGGGGTTTCATAGCCGTTTGGTCAGAAGCACGGGTAAAAACCTAGGGCTTGAGATAGGCACTGGAGGTGGAGGGCAGTCTTAGGACTGAGCTCTCAACCTACGGGATCTGATTCTACCTCCAGGTAGAGGGTGTCAGAATTGAATTGGATTGGTGGATACCCAGCTGGTGCCCACTGCAGAGCTGACTGCTTGCTTACTGGTAGGGACAAAGGTCCACACATTGGGTCACAGAAGATATCTGTGTAGATTGCTGTTGAGTGAGAGAATTAACAAATCAATTTGAATATGTGTTTCCTCCCCACACACGCACACGTATGTTTATTGCGGCACTATTCACAATAGCAAAGACTTGGAACCAACCCAAATGTCCAACAATGATAGACTGGATTAAGAAAATGTGGCACATATACACCATGAAATACTATGCAGCCATAAAAATAATGAGTTCATGTCCTTTGTAGGGACATGGATGAAGCTGGAAACCATCATTCTCAGCAAACTATCCCAAGGACAAAAAACCAAACACCGCATGTTCTCACTCATAGGTGGGAATTGAACAATGAGAGCACATGGACACAGGAAGGGGGATATCACACACCAGGGCCTGTTGTGGGGTGGGGGGAGGGGGGAGGCATAGCATTAGGTGTTATACCTAATGATCAATGACGAGTTAATCGGTGCAGCACACCAACATGGCACATGTATACATATGTAACAAACCTGCACATTGTGCACATGTACCCTAAAACTTAAAGTATAACAACAAAAAAAAAGAATCTGTGATCTGAGGCTCAATGGAAACGTAAGGTTTTACTTTGTCCCTTAATAGACTAATGGTGACTTTTTTTTTTTTTTTTTTTTTTTTGAGACAGGGTCTTGCTCTGTCACCCTGGCTGAAGTGCAGTGGCGTGATCTTGGCTCACTGCAACCTCCACTTCCTGGGTTCAAGTGATTCTCCTGCCTCAGCCTCCTGAGTAGCTGGGATTATTCTTATAGGAAAAATGATTGAGTCACTGACAACTCAACAAAACCATTTTATCTGTTTTTATTTGTGTCACAACAAACTAACTGAATTATATATGGTTATTTTTGCTAATCGGGACCAACGATAAAGCCTTAACTTTCATTCTAGGTCCTATCTTAAGGAGCCTAATTTGAATGCCAAGACAATTTACACACTGGCCTCTTTCTTCCTCTCTTGAAAATACAATGCAATCACTGATATCAAGGTCATATTTTCCAACCCCTCTGTTAGAACATATGAACTGATAACGATATTTTGTTCCATATAAGGCTGCCTGGAGATAGTCTAACAAAGTCAATGTATATACCAACATGTTGGAGTTTTGTGATATCTCAATCTTCAATGGACTAATAAGATTGGATACTTGAATTAAAGCCTATCTGAAATTCTAGAGTAAATTGTCATTCTATGTGTGCAATCTAATCACTAACAACAATCCTACAATATTAAGTCATTCTATGTGAATGAACTCAGAGCCCGTATAGTAACTTACAGATAAAAATGCATATTACCGTAACCCAGTGACCAGTATATTTATAAACACTAGTAGCAGAAAATAAGTGCTTTGATGTTGTTCATACTACATATTCCTTGCAAGTAGTTCTACATTTCTTCAAATACTAAGTCTGTGCTCATTATTTTTAGTGTGTATATTATTTAGACTATAACTTAGCATTTACGACCTCTACTTTGCTTTATTTCAGATAGGAGGAGCATTACAAGTTCCAATGTAAAATTGTTATATATTGCGAATGAAATACTATGCCTGGTTAGAAATTAAATTTACACAATATTAACTTTAGCTATGTTCTGTGTTAGTTGGTTTCACTCTAGTATTCAGAGGCACCAAGTTCATTCTGCATGTAATTTCAGGTCAACGCAGACTGTTTAATTAACAACTAGTTGAACTAGTAGAATTGCAGAGCAATTCCACTCTGACAGTTTTAACAACTATAATATCTCATACAGAGTTGCCTCACAGAAATGGTAACTGATAGTGTCTGGCTCAGCCTCGTGCCCAATGCAAAAAGGGCAACTAGCCTTCCAGCTTGCACTTACCTTCAATGATGGGGCCTCACCACCTGATAAGGTTGTGCATTTTATGATTTGACAGCTCTAGATTTTAGACATCCTGTAGAGTTTAAATATTTAAAGTTTAGCATATTTCTTTGCAATTTACTCTTATGGCAGAAATAAAATAATCTATTAAAACAATAAAAACTATTTAAGCTAGGCACCATGGCTCATGCCTGCCATGCCAGTGCTTAGGAGGCCAAGATGAGAGGATGCTTGAGCGCAGGAGTTCAACGATGCAGTGAGCTATGATTGCACCACTGCATTCCAGCCTGGGTGACAGAGCAAGACCTCATCTCTCAAAAAAATATATATTAACTTATTGTACATGTAGAGTAAATGGATATGGGAGAATGTAGGCTATATCAACAGAGGTTAACATCTGTGTCTGGTCGAGAAAGACAAGGTAGTGATAACCACTCCCAATATTAAAACCAGTAGGCACTTCCCTTTCTACTCTATTTCAAGGGTTCATGCTTAAATCCCAACACTTTCAACCTTAAATATCATGTATTTGACCCTAAATACTCAATTGTTTTTTCCACTACTTTATAGATAACTGAATTGCCTCACCCCGCATCTTTGTCCTCAGTTTGGTGACATAACCTCGTTTTTGGATTTGCTTTTACTTCAAGATTAAAATTTGCAATTCTTGACACTCCAATGTGTCTCGGTTTTCATTGGCCCAACTCCTGATTCTGCATGAGCAACTCAAAAGCTTTTATTGCCTATTTATACATGTAATCTATTAGTGCCTGTGGATACAGAGTACAGCTTGAAGGAAATATTCAGCCCATTTTGGGGGCAACAAGAGGGATACACGGGTAAAATCAGCTACATGAGTCATGGCCAAAGATGAATGATGGTGGACAGTCTACTCTCACTGCTTTCAATTAAATTTTCTCCTTAAGTGAGCACACTTTCAATTGGAATTATGTAGAAGAAAAAAGTGGTGTATATGGAAGGTGATGTGTGCTTCTCATGCTAATTAGATGCCCTCAATATTTCTTAGCTGGAACTTCAGTTTCAGAAATAAAGATCAAGCACACACCACCTCCCAACAAGTCCCACTGAGGAATGCGTGGACCTGAAGCAGGTAGGAGTCTCAGGAGATCATTATCTGGCTGGATGTGCTTTAAGAAGAATGTCTGTGGCAGAGATCTAAGGAGTTCACAAAATTCAAAGGAAAGCATTTGGATCTCTAGTCAAAAAATTTTGACAAATCCTGCAAGGTGCAGAGGCAAGAATTACAAAGGTCCCATTTCTCAGCTTCACCTGCCCAGCCCCCTGCAGAACTCCCATTGGTTTCAAAGACATTCCAGGCTTGGATCAGCTCTGTGGGGCATGGACCAGCTCTGTGGGGCATGGATCAGCTCTGTGGGGCATGGATCAGCTCTGTGGGGCATGGACCAGCTCTGTGGGGCTTGGATCAGCTCTGTGGGTCTTGGATCAGCTCTCTGGGGTATGGACCAGCTCTGTGGGGCATGGACCAGCTCTGTGGGGCTTGGATCAGCTCTGTGGGGTATGGACCAACTCTGTGGGGCACAGATCAGCTCTGTGGGGTATGGACCAGCTCTGTGGGGTATGGACCAGCTCTGTGGGGCACGGATCAGCTCTGTGGGGCTTGGATCAGCAGTGTGGGGCATGGATCAGCTCTGTGGGGTATGGACCAGCTCTTTGGGTATGGACCAGCTCTGTGGGGCATGGATCAGCTCTGTGGGGCTTGGATCAGCAGTGTGGGGCATGGATCAGCTCTGTGGGGTATGGACCAGCTCTGTGGGGCACGGATCAGCTCTGTGGGGCTTGGATCAGCAGTGTGGGGCATGGATCAGCTCTGTGGGGTATGGACCAGCTCTGTGGGGCACGGATCAGCTCTGTGGGACTTGCATCAGCTCTGTGGGGCTTGGACCAGCTCTGTGGGGTATGGACCAGCTCTGTGGGGCATGGACCAGCTCTGTGGGGCACGGATCAGCCAGACGAGGAATGGACCAGACACAGGAAGAGAGAAGGGCTGAACAAGGAAACAAAGTTCTATGGAAGAATTTTAGGACAAAAGATCACTCCTTTTATTAAGATAATAGTTTTAATAACAATACAATACCAAAATTGGAAATAACCTGAGATTTTAAGTGAATTATCAAACAATCATAAATAGACAGCTGATAGAATTCTGCAGGTAAGATCATTAAATCCTTCAAGTAATTTCAAAATTGTATTCCTCTTTGATGAAAAAAACTTATTTTTAATTTTATTTTACTTGAAGTTCCAGGATGCACGTGCAAGATGTACAGGTGTGTTACATAGGTACATGGAGCACTCCTTTCTTCATGCCGACAGGAGTGCTAATGCACTGATGGAGGCATCCAACGTATTTATGAAACACGTTCATCAGACATACTATGTCATAAAAGATGGGTATATATGATTATGTAGCACAGACAAGCAAGATGGGCGTTTTTCATAAAATATTTACACTGAGGAAAACATGTAGAAGCAGGGTATTAGTGAATGCCACCATAAATCCATTTAAAAATGGATTTTTCTTACCAATTCACCACTGATGACTATTTTTCATCACAGAGACCATAGTGAGAGATACCTCATTATCCAAATCCATTTAGAGCATAAAAGAGCATAGAGAATATGCGGTGTTTGGTTTTTGTTCTTGCGATAGTTTACTGAGAATGATGATTTCCAATTTCATCCATGTCCCTACAAAGGACATGAACTCATCATCTTTATGGCTGCATAGTATTCCATGGTGTTTCATAGGTGGGAATTGAACAATGAGATCACATGGACACAGGAAGGGGAATATCACACTCTGGGGACTGTGGTGGGGTGGGGGGAGGGGGGAGGGATAGCATTGGGAGATATACCTAATGCTAGATGACGAGTTAGTGGGTGCAGTGCACCAGCATGGCACATGTATACATATGTAACTAACCTGCACAATGTGCACATGTACCCTGAAACTTAAAGTATAATTTAAAAAAAAAAGAGCATAGAGAAAAAGACTGACCTTCCTGGGGGTGGAGGTAATATGTGTTTACAAGAAGACTTTGGAGAATAGACATATCTTTCCTCTGTAAGTCCCAGTTATTAACTCTTCCCATTTAGATATTGGATTATGTGGCATTCTTGTGGACACTTTGGCATAGGAATCTAATTTTCTTTATGTGGACACTCATTTATCCCAAATGCTTATTAAATGACTTTTCTCTAATAATACACAATATTCACTCTCACATTAAGCCCCTGCCTATGCTTGGGTTCTCTACTGAGTGTCATTTTTTTGTTTGTTTTTTTTTGTTTTGTTTTGTTTTCTGTTTACCTATGCCTATGATAATACCAAGCTATCTTAGTTGCTACAGATAAAAAAAAAAAATTGCTACATAGTAGTAACCCTCACGCACACCTTTCTGTTTTTCAAAATTGGCCTGTAGTTGCTTTGTCAAGCAAATTTGGGATCAGGTGGTTAAATCCTACTGAAACTGTTAATTTTGACTTAAAATATATTTAAATTATAGAACAACTTGGAGTGAATTTACGTCTTTAGTTGTCTCATCCATTAATACATTATCAGAGGAAAATTTCCAAAGACTCTAAACAGCAAATTTTCTCAGCTACCAGTGTCTGCACCAGAACGCCTAGGTGTTGATGACTATTCCTGCTCCCATCGGAAGCCAGTCTTGTGCTTCCTGCACCCAGTTGCCATCTCTTTTTACCTTGACAGGAACATCTCTCTATTCAACCTAAGAAACCTGATTTTTAAAAGAAAAAAAGAACATCTAACAATTTCTGTACTGTTCTTTTGCATCAGTTTTTCATTTCTATCAGACTATTCCCATCAGCACAGAAATATGATGCTATTTCTGCCATCTTAAAATATACTTATCTTGACTTTATTTATTTTTCCAGCTACCATTCTAGTTCTGTATTTCCCTAGGCCCACAAAATTATCCAAAGCATTGTTTTTACTCCACTTCCTCTCCTTCTAATCATCTCTAAATGCCTTTGGATCAGCTTTTCTCACCACTTCACTAATACTGCTCTTGTCAATATGACCAATGACCTCCACATTGAAAAATCAAATTGCAGGTTTATTTCTCTGGGAAATGATCCAATCCACCTCATTTTCAAAGGTATTGGTATATAATTAAGTATTATGTAATCTTACAGCCTTCTCAGTGTTTCTAATGTATAGAGGAAATGATTATGCCTTTGGTTTCCACCTTGTACTTTTTGGAGTTCTTTTTTTAGAGGGTAGAGAAGGATTCTTTTCATTGTGTTTTGTCTTCCTTTCTTTTCAAAGAACCAACTTTTAAGTTTCTATTCAATTCTCAATTTTCATATGTGCCAGATTATTCCCATCAGTATACAGATATAGTTCTATTTCTACCATTTTTGATCCATTTAATTTTATGAGGCCAGTGGAACTCTCCTAGATGGTATAGCATACTGCCTTCCTGACTAGTCATTGACTGCCTCCTTGACTTGAGTGTTGGCAGCTAACAGTTTTCAGCTGGGTCCCTCCATGGGCATTTCTAGTGGCCTAAGAGAGCTACAATCTCTCCAAGGTCATACCAACCCAGGGCAACCTTGTACAAAGGCTGGGCTGTTCAGGATATAAATGCCCATCCCTCTGGCCTCACAGACAATGCTGAGGGGTCGTCCAGGCTCAAGGACTTCTTCAGATCATCCGTGGCCTCTGGTGAGCTATAACACAATGAAACTTTCTTCACTCCCCTAGAGAAGTTGTTTGCCTGCAAGCAAATCTGTCTCAGTCTTTTTCTCGGGAAACCTAATCTAAAGAAATCTTGATACCAAAGCCTGAAAATGGCATTACAAAAAAGTATCTCAAGTCATTATCTTTCATGGGCATGGGTACAAAAATCCTAACAAGACAGAAAATATATTCTGGCAATATGTAATGGGGATAACCCATCTTGACCAACGTAGGCTTATTTCAAGCAGCTATTTAATGTTTGAAAATGAATCCCTGTAATTACCACATTCAAACACAAAAATATCATTTCAATGTATAAGAAAAGGCATTGATTAAAATTTAACATTTAGTTAGGCCAAAACCTCTTGGCAAACCAGCAAAAACCTAAAGTCTTTAATCTGATGGAGAGAATCTATGAAGTTCTGTAGGAAACATAGTATTAGTAATGGAATATTGAAGAAATTTCCCTGTTTGTGAATGAGAAAAAGATGATGTTTATCCTAGTTTTATTCATTTTTATCCTCTAGGTCCCAGCAAGTGCAAGAAGATAAGAGAAATAGAAGAGTGGTAAAAGGGGGGAATATAATACATTTTGCAGCCAGACATGGTGACTCACACACCTGTAATTCCAGCACTTTGGGAGGCTGAGGTAGGAGGATCTCTTGAGCCCAGGAATTCCAGACTAGCCTGGACAACACAGGGAGACCGTGTCTCTAACTATACACATAAATACATTAAATGACTTTTCCCTGATCATATACAATATTCACTCTCACATGAAATCCCTGTATATGCTTGAGTTCTCTACTGAGGGTCATTTTTTTCTATTTTTGCCTGTGCTAATATATATGCACACATACATATGTATTTTGTAAATTATAAGTTTTACATGTAAAAACTATAAATGGAATATTGGGATTAATGAGTAAAATTGGCAAGGTTATTAGATATAAGGCCAATATATAAGAACTAACTATAGTTTTATATACCAACAACACAAAACTTTTTAAAGATACTATGTATAATAGCTCCAGAAAAATCAAACAAGCACAAAATAGTGGCAAGAATTTTCCACTAAAATTACAAAACATTACTAAGAACAGTTAAGATCTAAATAATCTCCAGTAAATGTTTGTGGATTGGAAGTCTCAATATCTCAAATTCTTTACAAATTGATTTATAGATTCTATGCAATTCTAATCAGTCCTACATTATTCTAATCTCTCTTTATGCAGAAATTGATAAGCTTACTCTAAAATTTATGTAGATGTACACAGGGCTAAGAATAGCTAAGATAATCTCAAAAGATAAATCCGAAAGTTTCTTACTAACACCAGTAGTTACTTTTAAAGTTCAGTCAATAAGGCAGTCTACAACTGGTGCAAGTTCAGATACATAACAAATGGAACAAAACAGAATTCGTAAGATGACATATATATATATATACACACATACATACACACACACACACACACACACACACACACACATACATGCATAGTCAACTGACCTATGGCAGAGTTTGCACCACAATGTAGTAGGAAAAGGATAATCTTTGCAATAAATGGTTATGGGTTAGCCAAATATCAAGGAAAAATCATGAGCCCTACATCCTATTATACAAAAATATCAATTAGATGGAAATGCATCTAAGTGAGACATTTAAATTCCAGAAGAAAATCATGGAGAACTTCTTCATGATCCTGATACAGGCAAATTTTCGCAGTCAAGTCACACACAGCATTAGCCATGGAGGAAAACGTTGGGGAAATTGAACTTTATTAAAATTAAGAGCTTCTGTCCATCAAAAGGCAACAGAGTGTGTAAGACGGCAAACTGGAGTGAGCCAGTCGATCCTCCTCATTGCATATTCTGAACTTGTGAATTCACCTACTTGCTAAAATTTATTTGTAATCCCAAAATCAGTACAGCATTTTCAGTCATTCACAGACTTACGCAGAGCAGCAAAATATTTGAGTCGCCCAACACACACATTTCCATGTGAGGTTGAACAGGATGTCATATGATGCTCTGCCTTCTGTCGGCTCTTGTTCTGTAAGCGAGTGCCCTTTGTGTGATATATTTAGGGCTACATCTTTTGTATTCTGGGGCTTTTTATTGGATATTTTGCTGTTGTAAATGACCAAGTGTAGTACTGTCTATGGTTCCTAAGCTCTAGAGGGTTGTGATGTGACTTACAGAGAAAGTACACGTTTTGGATAAGCTTCCTTTAGGCATCAGTTGTGCCATTAGCAGTGATTTCTATATTAATGAATCAACAATGCATATCAAGTTAGGTGTCTTGAAACAGAAAACGAGGTTATGCGTTGATCAGTTGACAAAAAAGGTGACCAGAGGCTTATAGTAACCTAACCCTGTATTTCCATGCAGAAAAATGGTTCTGTATTTGCTAGTGTTCATGGTAACTTGATGGACCATAACTACCACACATCATGAGAATCAACCATACTTGCAATATGTACACTTTATAGAGGACTCATATCCAAATATTTTAAAGAACTCTTACAAAACAATGAGAAAATGAGACAATCCTACATAAACATGGGCCAAAGATTAAACAGCTACTTCACGGAAAGGAAAATCCAAATAGCCAGTGAACTGATGGGATGGTAGACTTTGATATTTGTCTCATCTCTGTTCTTTCCCTCAATGTCACTCACAAAAATCGTAATCTACAATTTGGATAAGATATCTTTAACTTTCAATCTGGCAAGCTCCCAATGCAAATATATTCTTGTTGTAGTAGTTTTCCCCTACAAACAAGGGAGAAGTTATGCCTGATAAAGTGTCAACTGTTATGATAGAATAAACATACAGCTACAATTATCTAAAGTTAATCAAATATCACAAGGCCATATTTTAGTTATCAAGCTATAAAAAAGTTTGAGACTAATGTTTGCGATACACATAATAACTAGATGTATAGGGTTTTAATAGAGGGTGTTGGTGTTTTCTGGGAAAATAATAAGAATGATAACATTAAAATCTTGTGGAAACAAATAAACTGAAAGATTTTAAGATTTTAAGACTGAGTGATTCCACTCAGACAACTTTTGTTAGGATCTCTTTGGATCTGCTATTTGTCTTCCACCGCTGTGGCTTTGCTCATGCATTTGCCTGCGTGCTACCACCCACTGCAATACTGACCGTTATTTCTGCTAAGCTAAAAGTATTGCCACTCCTTTGAAGTTTGTTCTGGTTTCTCCTCTAGGAGTAATCCCTTTTGCTTCTGAGCTCCCACTGTACTGTCCAGACTTTCAGCCCTTTCTGCTCTGCTATGTATTCATTTGTGTATATTCTATCTTCCACACTAGATTACAAATTCTGCCCAGGGTACAAACAATGCACACTACCTATTTAAATCCTCTTAGTATCTACCTCTCACAGTGACTTCAAATTTGAGCTGTGTTTAATAAATGATTAATTTAAAGAAAATCTGATATGGTTTGGTGGTGTGCCCACCCAATCTTATCTTAAATTGTAGCTCCCATAGTCCCCACATGTCATGGGAGGGACCTGGTAGGAGGTAATTGAATCATGGGGGCGGGTCTTTCCAATGCTGTTCTCGTGACGTGAATAAGTCTCATGAGATCAGAAGGTTTTATAAAAGGCAGTTCCCCTGCACAGGCTCTCTTGCCTGCTGCCATGTAAGATGTGGTTTTGCTCCTCCTTCACCTCTTACCGTGATTGGGAGGCCTCTCCAGCCATGTGGAACTGTGAGTCCATTGAACCTCTTTTTCTTTATAAATTATGCAGTCTCAGGTATTTCTTCATAACAGTAAGAAAATGGACTAATACGACAAATACTTGCTCTATAAAATCAGTTTTAATCATCATTCTCTAGAGAATGAAAAATAACCAGAAGAAAGTAGAGAATAAGTAGGATAAAAATAAAACTCCAGCAGAAGAAAATACGTAAAGCAAAACTGACAAAAGCACTTAAAGACAATGTGTGATCAGGTAAAGAAAAGTCCCTTTACTTCCACATTCAGTTCTTCCCATCTCACCTATGTTTCTGGTTTTCTTTGTTTGGTTTTCGCCTTTCACTCTACCTGTCTACCAAAATCAGCTTTCCCTACCTCTTGCCACCCAGCTGGTTTGGGCTGATGCCAGGCTAGAGCTCATCCTTATCACAGCAGTAGCTGGACCTCTGGCTACCCCAGTTTTTATCACTTGCCCCCTGCCATAAAGCTTAGTGCAACACTAACTCCAAAGTACCCCACCAGCGTGCTCAGAGACAACAGAAATGTTCTGGCTACCTTCAAGGAGGCAGTCTTTCTTTTTAATTTTGACAGCCAATTGAAAAACGATTCTAGGTACCACATTACTACCTGACAAAAATATGTCTAACTTGGAAAAGTCAGTTGATCATTTACTTCTAAGATCAATCTCTGAAAAAATAATTGGGCATTCAGAGCAATCAGAGTCAAATTTCTTCTGCTTGTCCCCACAGATTAACACTTTAATTTTAGGCATCTATCAAAAAATACATTTTCGGAGGCTTTAGATTTTGAACTGGATGGATCATTGGTCTGCTAGAATACAGAAAATGTTTAAAAACTATAGCACCTGATGGAGTCCCTAAGGCAAAAGTGTGATTGTGGGTGATGCTTTAAGCAATATTTTTACCCCTCAGTCTTGGGAGAATCCTTTGTCCCATGCTCTAGAGACACCTGTTTCATCGTGGCAACAGCTAGAAATACGGTACCCTGTGTCTGCACCACATCACTTCGTGGACCCTGTGGGTCCCAGGAGAGACTAGTTAGAGCCTCTTGCTGCAAACAAAGGAAACATCAAAGGAGATGACAGAACAGAGAGGGTGAATGAATTCATGGAGACAACCAAGTTACTTCAGGCCCAAGGCCTTGGAAAAAACATTCGGCCTTACCTAAACAATGCCATAAGTGGATAAAGTATCCAACTGATTAAAGATTCATCATTATCTCCATAATTCCTACATCATCAAAAGCCCGGAGTGGATAGCTGCAGAGCCAGGGCCCAGTGGCTGGCTCAGAGGAGAAGCAGGAAGAGACACACACTGAGCATTCCTCCCAGCAGCCCAGATTTGCACCTCTGATTGCCTCCTGGGAGGTAGTCTCAGATTGTCCCTGGAGTGCAAAGATGTAAACTTTTAACTGAAAAGGTCCAAAATGAACTTATTTTCACCTACAAAGAGGTTCTTGACCTCTTATTTCATTCCTTTCCTTGTTAGTGGCACCAACGTACATCAAGGTAGGACTTGAGAATGGCTCTAGACACTTCCCTGTCCCCACCCTCAGGTCTGTAAATACTCACCAGATTCTTCAGGCTGTGTTAGCTAAACATGTCTTTAACTCCCAGCTGCCTCCATCTTAGTCATGTCTTAGTCGTCCTCTAATTCATTTTCCATGTTTTAACTCATAATAATGTCTGTTGCTAACTTACCCAAACCATCGCATAACTTCCCATCAGCCCTAGGATAAAATCCAGATCCTGTAATAAAATAAACTAAAGTCTGTCATCTGAGTCTAAGCATTACTTCCTGCTGATCTTCACTATTTTATCTTTTATGCTTTATTGGTGCTAAACTACTTCCATTTCCCTACATGGATCACATAGTGCATATTCCAGTCCTTTCTTTTTACTTGCTTTCCTTCCACTTGAAATATAATTTCCCTTCCTTTCTTTTCCACTGCCCCTGCCTAAGGAACTTCAACTCAGCCCTGAGCCTAGCACAGGTGACACCCCGTTAAGGGATGCCCTGAACCCTGTATCTTCTTGCCTTGCTACCTGTTACCTTGGTCATTCTTTCTTGTTACACATAGTCTGCTGTGCTTGGATTGTGTGCCAGTCTCTTCACCTGTATATGAATTAATTTACTAGAAGCCAGGGACCAAGTTGTCTTCTATTTATCACCAGTGCCTCACAGTCCCTGGACTGTGGTAGGCACAAAATAAATATTTTAAGCTGAGTGGAGTCGAAGTGAATGACAATCCTGTTGCTGAGGCAGTGCATGAAATAAAAAGATTCAAATGCAAAGTGCCAAATGAGAGCTTAGTGACTCAAAAGAGAGAACAATTACTCTGGGCTAGGGAGGGTTGGATGAGGCAGAATATTCGATAGAATCAGCATTGTGTTGCACGGGCTTTTATGTTCCTTTCAGTCTCCACAGAGCTACAGTAAATGGAGGAAGTGGTTGATTCGAAAGTTTCAGGGAGGGAACAGCAGGCCTCTCTTCTGTTGCGTAATGTGTCCCTTAAAGCACGTGAAAAATCAAGCATGGAACAGGCTTTTATATGAATAAACAAAATAATTAATATCCCTGGCCAAGGTATTTTTATTTAGTTTATCAGTATCCAGAGTTAATACAAAGAAAGTAAGTAGGTTCTCTTTTTGCATTGCTAAACAATAAGGGTCTACCAAAATAACTTTTGCTGGGCTCCAGCGTCAGCCTGTAAGACAGGTGGCCACTTCTATCCATAGAGCATTAAGAGACACCTTTCTGGCAGTTTTGGAAAAGCACTATGTCCCTGTTCCCAGACTTCAAGGTTTAAGTAATATTCAGTTCCAATTTCAGAGCATCCTGCTAGAAAATAATTTTTTTAATTAAAAAGGTACACATTTATGGTATATAACTGCTTTCAAATATTTAATCATTGGAAATGGCTAAATTGAGCCATTAACATATGCATTACCTCACATGCTTATTTTTTGTGGTGAGAATATTAAAATCTTAGTGATTTTCAAGAATATAATACAGTGTTAATAACTATAGTCACCATGTTGTGCAATAGATCTCTTAAATCTTATTTTTTCTAACTGAAATTTTATATTATTTCACCGACACCTCCCCACCTCTCCCTCCAGCCTACTGCTAGTCCCTGGTAACCATTATTCTGCTCTCTGATGAGTTCGACTGTTACAGATTCTACATATAAGTGAGCTCATGAGGCACTTGTCTTTTTGTGCTTGGTTTATTCTACTCAGCACAGTATCTCCCAGCTTCATCCTTGTTGTCAAGAATGACAGAATTGACCACATGCAGTGGCTCACATCAATAATTCTAACACTTTAGGAGGCTGAGGCAGGAGGATCACTTGAGCTCAGGAGTTCCAGACCAACCTTGGCAACATAGGGAGATCTTGCTTCTGTAAAAAATAAAAAACAAAACCATTAGCTGGGCATGGTGGTGTGTGCCTGTAGTCCCAGCTACTCAGGAGGCTGAGGCAGGAGGATCACTTGTGCCTGGGAGGTCAAGGTTGCAGTGAGCTTTGATCACACCACTGCATTCTAGTCTGGGTGACAGAGTAAGACCCTGATCACACCACTGCACTCTAGTCTGGGTGACAGAGTAAGACCCTGTCTCAAAAAAAAAAATTCCTTCTATTTCTTTTTTTGGGGGGGCAGGGGGACAGAGTCTTGCTCCATCACCCAGGCTGGAGTGCAGTGGCGCGATCTCGGCTCACTGCAAGCTCCGCCTCCTGGGTTCATGCCATTCTCCTGCCTCAGCCTCCCGAGTAGCTGGGACTACAGGCACCTGCCGCCATGCCTGGCTAATTTTTTGTATTTTTAGTAAAGACGGGGTTTCACCGTGTTAGCCAGGATGGTCTCGATCTCCTGACCTCGTGATCCGCCCGCCTCGACCTCCTCTTTTTTTTTTTTTTTTTTAAGGAAGTAGTGTAAGTAGTATACCATCGTGTGTATATAGCACACTTTCTCCATCTGTCAATGGACACAGGTTGATTCCCTATCTTGGCTATTGTAAATAGTGCTACCATTACATGTGAGTGCAGACACCCCTTTGACCTATGGACCTATGGATTTTGGTTCCTTTGGATGGTGGGATTGCAGATAGTTTCATTCTTAATATCTTGGGAAACCCCCATACTGTTTTCCATAATGGCTGCATTAATGGACATTTACACCGACAGTGTGGAAGAGTTCTGTTCTCTGCATTCTTGCCAACACTCAATATCTCTTGTCTTCTTGATAATAGTCTTTCTAACTGGGGTGAGGTAATATCTTATTGTGACTTTAATTTGCGTTTCCCCAAAGATTAGTGGTGTTAAACATTTTTTCATATGCCTGTTGGCCATTTGTACATATTCTTTTGAGAAATACCTACTCAGATCCTTTGCCCATTTTAATTGGGCTGTTTTCTTACTGTTGAGTTCTTTATTTTAGATGTTAACCCATTATCAAATGTGTGGTTTCCAAATATTTTCTCCCATTCTGCAGGTTGTCTCTTCACTCTGTTGATTGTTTCTTTTGCTATGTAGAAACTTTTAGTTTGATGTAACCCCATTTGTCTATTTTTGCTTTTATTGACTATGCTTTTGGGGTCACTTTTTAAAAAAATAATTGCCCAGACCAATGTCATGGAGCTTGGCCCCAGTGTTTTCTTCTAGGAGTTGCTGTACCACTTCGTGCACATTTTGATGCCTATCAAACCATAATGATGATTCCTTCAGGGACTCTCTCTCTCTAAACCCAGGTAACCATTCAGCCACATGAAAACATCATAGATGTCAGCCAGGCCAGCAGGCTGCTCCCAGTTATTTCAGGAAACTAGAGGTTCTGAACATCTTGAACTGCTCCAATGCCCTTCCCACATCTCACAACTTCTAAGCTTTACACATGTCATAGGAAGCCCACTAATTCCTGAAAGAGGATGGGGAAAGATGTCTGTCATTCTCAGTCACTCCACAGTTGACTTGAGTCATAATTGCCAGACCCTGTCAATCCTTTTGAACAAACTCTGGGCTGCCTAGATGAAGTTACCCAACTGTTTTTATGGCTCCACTGCAGATCTGTGCTTGACTTCAGCAGGGAGAGGAAGTGGGAGGATGTGAACACTTCACAAGGAGGAGAGATTGCTTCTGATCATGAGAAAACGATAGAAACAAATCTCACGTCTGATTCAGCATGCTCCAGCCCCTAATCCCTACGGGTTTGAATTAGGGGTCATTACACATCAGGAAAGCAGAATGAAGGCTTCGTGGCCCACACACATCGTCCCCCAGCATCCCAGTTCTGGCCTTCCAGAACTGCCAGCAGCCATAACACCTACACTGGCAAAAACCCCACTGTCATCTTGACTGAATTCAGATTTTCCTTCCAGAAATCACATCTCTCATGCAGAGCCTCATTAGAAAGTCTGAATATTCATTCCTTTCATGAACCTCATAACTAAATTCTGCTTAAGAAAGGTTGCTTAGGGGCGCTGATACCTATTGTAGGAAGTCGTGAGTTGTGTAAAAGAAGTAATGGGCTCTTTGTAGACAGTTTCACTAAGGATAGTTCCTCCTGTCTGAAAAGCCTCCTTACATCATTCCTCAAAGCTGCCAGTGTAACATAGACTTGAGAAGCCCTCTTTTATGCCGGGTAACTTGGTCTCACAGTCCTCAACTGGGGGGATGAAGGCTTGTTGACCACTGCCAGCATCTGCAGTGTCTCCACTTGTAATTTTTTATTCTCTAGGAGTAGGGGCAGTGGATTTTCTTTTCTGTGAGAACCATGCAAGATGACCAAGAAAGGAAATGCCACCCTCCTTTACCCAAAAACATCCCGCTGCTCCAGTCTTGCTCACCAAACACAAAACATTCAATAGAAGGACATAGTTTTCTATGCAACAGTCAAGTAGCCCAGGAGTTTGAGAGCAGCCTGGGCAAGACAGCAAGTCCCCAGCTCTACAAAAAGTTAAAAAAATAAAATAGTTTGGTAGGGTAGTGCGTGACTGGAGACCCAGTGACTCAGGAGACTAAGGCAGGAGGATCACTTGAGCCCAGGAGTTCATGACTGCAGTGAGCTAGGATTACACCACTGCACTCCAGCCTGGGCAACAGAGTGAGACCGTCTCAACAAATAAATTAGATATACTTGACAGTATTTTTAAAGTATAATACAGGGTAAGAAATATATAATTTATATAATCTTAATGGGTATATAGAGAGTTATATTTCTTAGCTAACTAAACTTGTGTTTAGCTTATTTATTCCCAACATCAGAAGGGGACCATGTAGAGTTAGGCATTCTGTGAAAAGTGTTCCCTTTCTGGATCCAAAGAAGAGTGTTTATAAATGTTCCTCCTCTCCTTCAAATCTGCCTCCCTCCACCCCTCAGGCCTGTGTTTCAGAATTCAGGACTCACCTTTTGCTTTCCATATCCAGCTCAGGCTCCGCTGCAGCAAGTCCTGTACTGGTTAAGTCCTTAGCTGAGCTGAGTCGTCGGTGCATCTCGACAAGGCCAGCAATGCTTTTCCCCAGACAGCACAGCCTGGTCTCACTTGGGGAAAGACTATCACTCTTGTTAGGATGACTCTAGCTTCTGGAAAACAAAAACCACAACAGTATTGTTTTAAGGAATACTGATTCTTTTCTGGGCCCGTCTTACCTTGAAAGAACCACCATATAACTATCCATGTCTTCTTCCTCATCCTTCAATGAGGATTGTAAGCATGAGCTCAGATGAGGTTATTTTTATGCCACATATGGCTTACCTCCTGTGTCAGTCCATTCTCATATTGCTGTAAAGAAATACTGGAGAATAGGTAATTTATTTTTTTTTAAAAAAAGGCTTAATTGAGTCACCGCTCTGTAGGCTGTAAAGAAAGCATAGTGGTATCTGCTGGGGAGGCCTTGGGGGAGCTTCCAATAATGGCAGAAGGCAAAGGGAAGTGAGCTTCTTACATGGCAGGAATAGGAGCAAGAGAGCAAGACAGGAGGTGCTACATATATTTTTTTTTTTTAAACGGAGTCTCGCTCTGTTGCCCAGGCTGGAGGGCAGTGGGGCAATCCCAGCTCACTGCAACCTCCGCCTCCCGGGTTCAAGCGATTCTCCTGCCACAGCCTCCTGAGTAGCTGGGACTACAGGTAGATGCCACCATGCCCGGCTCATTTTTGTACTTGTAGTAGAGATGGGGTTTCACCACGTTGGCCAGGCTGGTCTTGAACTCCTGACCTTGGGTGATCTGCCCACCTTGGCCTCCCAGCTACTGTGCCCAGCCAGTGTTACACATTTTTAAACAACCAGATCTTGTGAGAACTCGCTATCATGAAAAACAGCACCAAGGGGATGGTACTAACCCATTCATGAAAGACCACTAGCATGCACTCATCACCTCTACCAGGCCCCGCCTCCAACACTGGGGATTATGATTTAACAGCTTTGGGTGGGGAACACAGATCCAAAGCATATCACTTCTATTCCCACCCATTCCCAATTAAAGAGGAAAAAAAAGTTTAGGTTATTCTACCATATTAATTTTGTACAAAATAGATTTTTCAGAAATCTCTAATAGATATGTCTAAAGAATCTATTGAAGGAGTGAATGGATCTGAGATCACTACATAAACCATGGAACAAGTGCAATTTTCTGATAAAAGCCATGTAGGATTGGGGATTTTGGCTAAGATTCCTCCTTAGTAGGAGACATTCGATGTATATAGTCACAAACGTGAACAAGCTAATATAGAAGAGCTCAGGATAGAGTCTCTGTAAGCTGGGATGTATCCAATTGCCCAGGAACATGTTGATCTCAAGACCAGCAGGAAATCAGAGTAATTATTGTAATTTAATTTAAAAACATAAATCATTGACTAATGGGGATAAGAGTGTAACATAATAGTAGGAAATGGGTTGCAGCTATTTTCCTTGGAAGAAATGCATAGCATGAAAGGGTTAAAAACAAGCTTTACATTTACTTACATATTTAAATTTAATTATATATTCATTTGTATTTAGAGAAATGACACAATGCCACTATTATTACCACCAACTTGTTAAAATATCCTAATAATAAAGAACTGGAAATAAAAAGTGAAGATGGCCTGTCTGGAAGTGGATCAACTATAGAATTTCATGGAACATTTCTGAGAAAGGCTAGATTTTTGTCCAGATTCTATGGCAAAAAGGGTTATTTACCTAGTCCTCAATACAAACCAAGAACACCACCTTGGAAAGCAAATGGTGCTTTTGCAAAATGCTGTATGAACTCTTTCCGATCTTTAAGGTACCACTTTGAAGAACAGAGGACACAAGGATACAAGTTGTTTTATTTTCCCCGAGGTTACAAAGAAAGTTTTCTAAAGTTAAACATTTTGAATTGTGAATGTAATGTACAACATGTAACACACAGACTGGTTGTGAAAGTTGACCTTATTATCGTAGGCAGTAACGCTATTTTGCCATAGAATCTGGACAAAAATCTAGCCTTTCTCAGAAATGTTCCATGAAATTCTATAGCGGAACCACTTCCAGATAGCCCATCTTCACTTTTTATTTCCAGTTCTTTATTATAAGGATATTTTAACAAGTTGGAGGTAATAACAGTGGCATTGTGTCATTTTTCTAAATACAAATGAATATATAATTAAATTTAAATACGTAAGTAAACGTAAAGTTAGTTTTTAAAAGTGTTCCTCTGGTCCTTCATTTATTGATTTAATAGATAGATGCTCATGGAATATCTTTAACGTTCAAGGGTGACCTCAGGGTGACGGGGTGGTGTAAAGAGTATAGGGTAAGCAAAGAGGGGAGACACTGGCCCTGCTTGCAAGCCTCTTGCAACACAGATGGAATTAGAGGGAAACACATGAAGAATGACATATTAGTCAGAATGCCATAGGTATTGAGATAGGCACACAAAATAATGCTATAGGGTTTAGAGGATGAGTCATTCATATCTAATAAATGAAACTAAATAGGACTCAGGATATTGCATTTGAGTTAGGTTTCAACAGTTACCTGGGGTATATTGGGAAAATGTAGATACATAGAATGGGGTGAAAAGAGGCCTAATTCAGGAAAGTGTCGAGTAATTCCACAGGTCCTCACAGTCCACACAACTACCCCCATGAAATTCTGCATGCAATTTTTCTGGGAAAGTCCCCAGCTTTCACCAAACATTCAAAAATACTCTAAATCCCCAAAATGTTGAGAAACCCTCTGCTGTAGATCATATTTTGGGAGTAACAAGAAATGCAAGTTGTTTAATATGTAATACACATTTTACCCTAAAAACAATTAAAGTACAAAATCATCAAATAGTAAACAAAAAAAGGAAATAATTTTAACCTCTGCATTTTGAAAGTGAGAAAAAGAGACTCTGGGAAGTGAGGGGTCTTGATTATAACCACTGAGATCATTACTAGATAAAGCTAAGGCTAAGTTTTAGAAAGCCTTTCGTTAAAATATGTGAAGAATGGAGTTTATTTACTAGGCAGTAGGGAGTCATTAAATCATTTTGTACAAGGAGCATATATAAAAGATCTGCCTGGAAGAACTAACTGTTCATTAGATTGGAGAGGGAAGAGTCTAGACTAAAAGCCAACTGGAATTCATTACAACAACTCAAAGCAGAATCAGTGATGGTCTAAATCTGAAATGGTGGTAGAGGAAATGAAATTGAGGTATAGGTTGAGAATTTCTTATCCAAAATGCTTAAGACCAGAAGTTTTAGGATTCTTGGAATATTAGCATTATGCTTTCTCACCCATTGAACATCCCAAACCCAGAATCTGATAACCACAATACAAAATGTTCCAATGAACATTTTGAGTGTCATGTCAGTACTCAGAAAGGGTTCAGATTTCGGAGAATTTCACATGACAGTTTTGAACTGGGATTAATCAACCTGTAATGTATTCAAAAACCTGAATAAAGGTGAAAGTCACAGGAGTCAGAATGGAATAGGTAGGAACACTAAAGAGAGGCAGGTGTCAAAGACAACTCACAGATTTAAAGTCTTGGAAACGGGGAGGATGTTGCTGAAATAGGTACCAGTTTCAGGAGGAAGGTAATATTTTGGTTTGGGATATGGATAGTTTGATTAACAAAGAAAATTGCTAACTTCCTTACAAAATTGGTGGCTCTACAGTTAGTTTTCAAATGGAACTGAACATCAGCCCAATGACAATTATACAATCTGAGCTGATACCCATTTACTGGCCTGGTACTGACTTTCTACTGGTGCACGCACACTACATGCAAGCAATAAAAACACAGTTGAATCTGTCTGGCCTTTATAGATGAAAGTAGAAAGAAAAAATTAGAATAAGTTTTATTTTACCCATAGGTTTATGAACATTTATTTCTATAGCCATATCAATCAATGCTACTGACTCAATACATATGCATTTCATCAGCTCCTATGATATATTAGTAATGTTTACAGGTAAATTTTTGGGGGGATGTGTGCAAAAGTCAATAGTTTTGAACTTGAAGTAACTGACAGGTTAGTAGAGTTGTCACACATAAATACGATCACTTCTTTCTCAACACCACATTGCTTAATCCTAACATGCTAGAAGCCTCGTAAAATATGCACGTCCCATTTGTTCTTCCCTTAAAAATAGTTTTACTCTGTTAGAATTTGGAGGCTGGTAAGAATTAACCAAAAATTCAAGAACAAACCTTGTCTCTATAGGATATGGAAACCGCACATGAAAAATGTGTTCCTTCCGCTTTTGTAGTTATTAGACATGAAGGTGATACTAGCCTTTGACTGCCAGAGTGGTAAGCCAAGTTTTGGCCTTAGGATATCAACAGTAATTCAGTATTATCTCTTCTAGCATCTAATTGTTCTTAGCTCTGTGTTTGTACAAACACATGAGACCTGACAAGTTCACTTGCCCTTAAACTCTCTAATTTCTGTCCCATATGAGAGGCTGACGTGTTTAATATTCTTGAATTTCTACCTTACTTTGTATCATTCTTTGTTAATGGAAACTTTTGCACCTTTCTAACCTGTTGGCTGTGAAAGTTTAACTTTTGTTAGTTTTAAGGACAGAGTGAAACTAAATGATGTAAAATGAAAAGATAAAACCAGAGTGTATGTCAGTTACTGAGAACTCTCCTCCCACCATGCCTTTTGTCCTCCTCCAAGGTGCTGGCCTCTGTGAAGAGGTTCCAGCCTTTATTTGAACCCCCAGAGCTCTGGACCAGCAGCTGGGATATGTCATGATTACTTTAGAGTGAGATTAATTTGAGGGCATCATGCAATAATGAGGTTTGCCTGAAAAATTAACACATCTTAAAAGACTGAGAGCAAGTTTGCCCCTCCTTATTCTTTTTTTTTTTTTTTTTTTTTTTGAGATGGGAGTCTTACTCTGTTGCCAGGCTGGAGTACAGTGGCACGATCTTGGCTCACTGCAACCTCTGCCACCCGGGTTCAAGTGATTCTCCTGCCTCAGCCTCCCAAGTAGCTGAGATTTCAGCACATGCCACCACACCCAGCTAATGTTTGTATTTTTAATAGAGACGGGGTTTCACCATGTTGGCAAGGATGGTGTCGATCTCCTGACTTTGTGATACACCTGCCTTGACCTCCCAAAGTGCTGGGATTATAGGCATGAGCCACTGCACCCAGCCCAAGAGTTAGTGATATCTTTTTTTGTATCTTCTCCATCCCCATCCTCTCAAGAAGAATCGATTTGTAGATATCTTTTCCCTTGCCAATAGGTATAATTCCATTCTGTTACATTCCTCCTTTATTAAATTGAAATCAGCTAAGGAAATGCAATTAGACTTTAAGAAATGTAATTAGAAAGAGAAATATTCTACAAAGACAATGTATTAGAGCATATTGAATGTTTTACTGTAAGGGCATAATTTGCTATTTTAATCTTATAGTATAAAAATCCAATTTTAATGATTCCTACTGTTAAAGAAAGTGGCTCAAATTAATTTCTCAATTTTCTAAAAGTTGATCCTTATCCTGAAAGTTGGATCATGGAAATAAGTTTGTGAATACATTTACAGTTATAAATTTTACCTTAAGTCTAGCAGGATAAATCAATGTACATAAACACTGTAATGTAAAGTAGAAAATTGGTTATAAAAGATGTTCAGATAAGGTGCTACGGAAGCTCTGAGGAGAAAAAATAAATTGTCTAATATAGAATTAGAGTCAGCTTCTTTGAGAGAGATGAGCTGAGTCTTGCAAGATCTGAATATGCAACTGTAGTTCAACAAATATTTGTTGAATACACTGTAGAAATATAGTATATACAGTCAATATATTTATCTGTACTTTGCTGTTAAACTGCAACCCATTTTTTAAAAATTTTTTATTTCCTCAGGTTATTGGGGAACAGGTGGTGTTTGGTTACATGAGTAAGTTCTTTAGTGGTTATTTGTGAGGTTTTGGTGCACCCATCACCCGAGCAGTGTACACTGCACCCATTTTGTATTCTTTTATCTATCTCTCACCCCTCTTCCCACTCTTTTCCTTGAGTCCCCAAAGTCCATTGTGTCATTCTTATGCCTTTGCATCCTGATAGCTTAGCTCCTATTTATGACTGAGAGCATGTGATACTTGGTTTTCCATTACTGAGTTACTTCACTTAGAATAATAGTCTCTAATCTCATCCAGGTTGCTGTGAATGCCATTAATTCATTCCTTTTTATGGCTGAGTAGTACTCTATCATATTCCCACCAGCAGTGTAGAAGTGTTCCCTGTTCATTGCATCTATGCCAACTTCTATTATTTTTTGATTTTTTGATTATGGCCATTCTTGGAAGGAGGAAGGTGGCATTACCTTGCAGTTTTAATTGGCGTTTCCCTGATCATTAGTGATGTTGGGCATTTTTTTTTGTATGTTTCTTGGCCATTTGTATATCTTCTTTTGATAACTGTTTATGACCTTAGCCCACTTTTCAATGAGATTGTTTGTTTTTTTCTTGCTAATTTTGTTAAACTCTTATCCTATCATGCAACTGTTATTTTACTTTCATTTCTACCTCATATATTCCTAGAGCAGCTCATGATGGCTTGAATTTTTGATTGCTGCCTCTGATCTCTAATAAACATTGACAAGCATTCTCTCTAAAGAGCCAGGTAGTAAATATTTCTGGCTGTGAGGGCCACAGGATTTCTGTGGCACCTACTCCACTCTGCTGTGATAACATGAAAGTAGACATAGCCAGCATATCAATGATGTACGTGGCTCTGTTCAAATAAAACTTTCTTTACAAAAACAAAGTTTTTGTAGGGAGCAGGCCAGGTTCAGCCTACAGATGGCAATTTCGTAATCTCTGGTCCATACCATAGGCTTACTGTATCAGTCCAAAGAAAATATTTCTGATCTGTAATTTCCATAAAAAATGGTACTGTAACAACTAGGAAATCGTCATTCCTACTGGACCACACACGTATCTGTCAAGAACAGTCGAGAATATGAGATTTTACCCTACTTGCAAGTGCATAAGTTAGCCTGACAGTTTCATCGATGCTCTAGCTAATGACACAGACTCCTGGGTCAGAGAAAAAGGACAGCTTACTGCTCATGGTAAGAGCAGAATCAGAGCATCAGCATTTCTTGTGCCGGCTTCTCAAGCTCTGGTTCCCACCGGGCAACAGAGAGCCAGGGAATAACCACATACAGTTCATTGGATTTTAGGAAAAGAACCCTGAGTTTAGAAAACAGAAATCTTCTATAATTGGCAATAAATATGCATGACCTTAGCCCCATAGAGAGATGCTAACTTCATTACACTGAACAGCAAGCATGTCTGCCCTTTGCTGTAGAGGTAGACAGCAACCATCTCTATTTGCCAAGACTGTTTGCCAAACACACATCCTTGACTAGAGAATCTAGACTAAAGGCTGGTAGTGCCTCTGCCTGCAAGATGCACAGAAATACAAGAAACTCACAGTGAGTTGTTTACCAACCCCAGCCTCTCAAACTATAGTCATATCCCTGTAGGTTTTGAAAGCTTTGATAGAAATACAGCGTTAAGACAATCATACTTAAATGCCCACTGAATTTACCAAAACATTAACAAAAATAATCAGGAAATGGCAGAGGCACTCTGTATATATTTAATTCAAGACTCTAACTACTCAACAACTAAGATGAACATTGACTCAACTCCAACCTGTGGTTCTTACCTTCGGATACATATTCCTTGAAACACAATCACATTAAAATAAAACTATCTCAATGCTGCTTATTTATACTATAATTTTCAAAAGTCTCTGATACCTGTGTGTACCTGTTTGTACATGTATGGTAAAGGGTAGCTTGTATACGTATCAGAAGTTACAGGGTTAAAAAAAAAAGGAAAACATTGGTACGGAACTGAAAAGAAGTTGAGATGCTTTACATTTTAAATATGCTTGCCAGAATTTCAGAATCATTTAATGAGATTAACCCTTTCAGAATTTAATTTAAATGAGTTTCCAAAAATTCACATTAGCTTTACTCACATGTATATGGTAAGAGATGACCCATCTTCTCCCCATATAACAGTGGGAAGTGGTGTTAAATGAACATAGAGTAATTTGATCAAGGCCAATAGGCAGAGTTAGAACAAAGTCCTAATTAAAACTTTTTTTCCCAAGCCACAGAGCTCACATATTTATTACTGAACAAACCTACTAGATAAGTATAAATACAAATAAAAATGTCATTATTTTATCAATAAAACCTGTCCAATGATCTAGATTGTGCTGATTTTTTCAGTTTGATATGGTAAGATGCTAAAGACCCTGTGGGTGGCTGCCATGAATATGTGAGCCATTTCACATGCAAGACCTCACAGGTGAAACTTGGCTCTTCTCCCACGTCTGCTTGTGGAACTGTACCTGACTTTATGACCAGTTCTCATCCTAATCTCCTGGAGAATGGGTTCTGCTTGATTCTTGGCCAGGAGTTACTGGATCCTGAAAGTCTTCTGAAGAAGACACATTGAGGAGGAAAGCCAACCACATACACCATATCATGGTGGAGAAGGATTTTTTTTTTTAACCAATAACTGTAAAGTTTTATCAGGGACCTATCACCGTGACGCACACCTGGAATCCCAGTGCTTTGGGAGGCTTAGGTGGGAGGATCATTTGTGCCCAGGAGTTCAAGACCAGCAAGGGCAACATAGTGAGACTTTGGCTGTATTAAAAAAAAAAAAAAAAAAGCCAGGCATGGTGGCCCACACCTTTAGCCCAAGCTACTCAAGAGGATTACTTGAGCCCAGGAGTTTGAGGCTGCAGTGAGCTGTGGTCAAACACAGCGCTCCAGCCTGGGTGACAGAGCAAGACCCTATCTCAGAAAAAGATAAAGCTCAATAATTGATATATTTTATTGCAGTGAAAAATGCATTATTTATATTGATACATAACACTGGCACATATTTACAGAGAACACATTTTCTTGCATAGAACAGGTATTGATGAAGTCAGCATATTTAGGATATTTATCAACTCCGGCTACAGTTAACAATGTATTGTATGTTTCAAAAATGCACTGATTGTGCTCTTGTAGTCACTTCTTAGGTTTTCATGTGATGCTATGATAGTACACTAGGTTCTATGGAGAAGGCAGAATGACAGTCCTTGTAACAAAGCTGTCTCAACATCAGGACACACATCCTCTACTACACCCATGGATAAGTAGAATCCATAAACATGAGAGCAGCCTGATCTGTAGCAAGCAGAACCCTAACGCCTTCTAGGAGCACATTTGTGCCTATTTTGAACAATCCACTGAATGCAAGGAGGTGGTGCATGTGTACGAATGGCAGATGAGTGTGTGTTTTCATTTCAGAAGAATTCTTCCTCACTACCACGTTAACCCTTTTGGAATTCTATACCTTTAACTATGTCACTCCAGTCATTTTTAAATGGAACGTTTAGAGCTAAAGATTGCTGACTGATGTGACAGAGAAAATCGTGTTCCTGCCTGTGTACAGACATTTTTCAAGCATGTCCCTGTTCATACATACGGACATGAAGACTCCTAGAAAATGCTGTGGGTACATTTCTCTCCTGCCTCATGAAAGTGCTAGAGATGATTTGCGGTGAAAAAATAGGCACCAAGTTTTAAGTTTTATTTTCACCATGCTTGTACTTTGTTCTGCTTTTAGCAGCAGCGTGATGTCAGACACATTTAAATCAGATGAAAACCTGAATTTTTCATATTAATTAAAGTTCAACGGATTCCTTATAAAGAATACATGAAAAGATCAGCGCTGATGGGGGGGGAGGGGTGTGGGGGAAGTCACGTGGGATGGATTTTCTGAAGATTAACTGTGGCTGAGTTGAGATCCCTCCTGGGCTTTCTGGACTGATTCCAAATTTAGAAAGCGATTGACAAGCAATGGTACCTTATCCTGCACGAATTTTTTTTTCCTCTGAAGAGGAGCAGAAATGAAGAGAAAATAAATGTTTCCAATGAGTAGTGATGTAGACAAGTTCTTGTGTGTGCTCTCACATGTGTGTGTTTACTGGGAACTTCCACAAAATAACAAATTTGTGCAAAAAAAATTGGACTAACAAAGGTTCTGTGTGCAGATGTCTCTGCCAGCATAAGACAGGAAACATTAAGGTCTGTGACTGAAGAGTCCTTTTTCCAGTGATAACAGGTGTCTATGACTAGCAGCCTGAAGATGCGATCACAGCAATTCCTGCCAAGTTCTTAGATCATCCCCACGTGACCAGCAGAATTCATCTGAGTTCAGTTATTTATGTTTAAACTCACAAATGGAGATCTTTACGGCATTATTTGGCAAACATAGACATAGGAAAAAATAATACAATGGAGGCATGTATTATCTTACTAAAAAGTGAATTTGGACTCAAAGGAAATTCATGGAAATGAATCTCTTTGAACTACCTGTTATACATTCTGACGGTGGACAGAATCTATCACTCTGAGTGAAGGAGATGGTTTTTGTCCTTGATCTAGTCTGGTAGGGTCCTATCTTCCCTGATCCCATCAGCTGTTTTCTTTCCAGAGGGTTTCCAGAAAGGTACTGACTGTAGGACATAGCCAGAACCTCTGTGCCAGCTTCCCAATGCCTAGGGCTTCCTGCTGTAACAGTTGGTGTTAGTCACTGCTATTTTATTGCTACCAATGTGCCTACTTTATCTATCTCTGTCTTTTTATACTTGAACTGCTGATGAGAAGACAATGATATCTAATTAGGAAATCCTAAATTATTCTTTTAATCTTTCACACTATGCTTTTGGTGCAGTGCATCGGATTGTAATGAATCCCACTTCCGCACGTAGAACGCACATTTCTTGTGATTCAGTTTCAATCTCCTTTCTCGTATTTGCTTGCTGTTTGATCAGTTGGCCTTAGCAAAGTGGAATTTAGGGCATAGTACTTATGACCCAATATGCCCCTTGATAGTGATGCTCTAATTTTGGAGCATGACCTGGTAATAGTACACTTGGGTAAACTAGATATGACAGAGTTTACATTGCCATTATTGAGCGTTGACAAAAAACACATAAATATGATTGTGGCTAATCATAAAGACAAAAAGTAAAAATTTGGCTTCTACCATGGTGGTATTAAGATTCTTTGATATGGTGATGGCCTGATACCAGACCTGAAAAAGTCAAGAACCAAGGCTCCGGTCACGAGCAATGTGCTTTTCCTAGAACTCATCAGCCTTCCTTGCCATGACCATTATTACATTCTTACAGTTCAGCTGTATCTCTACTGTCATTTACTAGAAAGAATCACTTACCCTGTCCTTGTGCTTTTGATAGGAATCAATCACTTTCAGTGCCTCTCCCCTGGAAACCACCCAAACTTGTCTCTGCTGCTTTTTGATAATTTTCAAATGCTGCAACCTCTATGCAGTGGGGCAAAGGATAAAATGGCCATGAGAATATGCATTTGCAAAGCTTTCGTAACAGAAATTGTCTTTGATGCTGAATATTACTAATCATTAGGGAAAGACAAAACCACAGTGAGATACCATCTTGCACCAGTCAGAATGGCTGTTATTAAAAAGTCAAAAAAATGAAAGATGCTGGACAGATTGCAGAGAAAAGAGAACACTTACACACTGCCAGTGGGAAGGTAAGTTAATTCAGCCAGTGTGGAAAGCAGTCTGGAGATTTCTCAAAGAACTTGAAGTACCACTTGACTCAGTAATCCCATTACTGGGTATATACTCAAAAGACTACAAGTCGTTCTACCATAAAGACACGTGCCATGTGTATGTTCTTTGTGGTGCTATTCACAGTTGCAAAGACATGGAATTAATCTACATGCACATCAGTGGACTGGATAAAGAAAATGTGGTACATGTACACCATGGAATACTACACAGCAATGAAAAAGGATAGAATCACGGTTTTTGCAGCAATATGGATGCAGCTGGAAGCCATTATCCTAAGCAAATTAACACAGCAACAGAAAACCAAATTCTGCATGGTCTCACTTACAAGTGGGACATAAACATTGAATACACGTGGACAAAAAGAACAACAATAGATACCAGGCCTTATTGAGGGTGGAGGGTGGGAGAAAAGTAAAGATTGAAAAACTACCTATCACTACCTGGCAAAGTTGTTGTACACCAAACCCCTACAACATGCAATTTAGCCATGTAACAAACCCACACATGTACCCCTTGAACCTAAAATAAAAGTTGGAAAGTAAAAAATGTTTTGCCTTTTTATGCCTCCACATTGTCTTAATAACACACTGTTGAATTACTCATAGCAGATAAGTTAACTCCTGGTAAAATTTCATTCAACCTGTTGATATCCACAAGCTCTTTAAATTGTGGAGGGAGAGTAGGTTAAAAAAAAAAAAAACTAAAAGAAACATGACTTAAAGTTGTATACGTAAAACCAGAAAGAAAAAAAAAAGTGTAATGAATTGGGGAAATAGCTAATAGGGTATGTAAGGATGAAATGAGTGTTGTTGTTGTTTTGTTTCTTTTTTTTTTTTTTTTTTTGAGACAGAATCTCTGTCACCCAGGCTGAAGTGCAGTGGCGCGATCTCGGCTCACTACAAGCTCCGCCTCCCAGGTTCACGCCATTCTCCTGCCTCAGCCTCCCAAGTACCTGGGACTACAGTTGCCCGCCACCATGCCCAGCTAACTTTTTGTATTTTTAGTAGAGACAGGGTTTCACCGTGTTAGCCAGGATGGTCTCAATCTCCTGACCTCATGATCTGCCCGCCTCGGCCTCCCAAAGTGCTGGGATTACAGGCGTAAGCCACCGTACCCAGCTGAAATGAGTGGTTTTATGAATTCTACCATCACGCAACTTGGTTGAGTTGAATTTTATAAATTAAATAAATAATGCACCTGATGTAAAAGCTGCAACAGTAAACGATTAGAAAAAAGTAAAGTTTCACGGCTTTTTGTCACTGATGTATGTTACTTGAGAAATGATATGCAAACCCATTCACACTTTTTCCCTCCTTGGGTTGCATCTAACTTTTGTGCATCCTTCTGGTTAGAACTTACTGAAACAGGCAAGTAAGTAATTATAACTGAGCCAAAGGATATGCTATGTAAAGAGAAGACACACATTTTCAAATATGAAGGTCAAAATACAAATTTCTAATATAAAAATAAATTTTAAAGAAGAGTTGAGTGCTTGCTGTGTCCCTACCAGTAACTCACCTACACTAGGATATTCTTAGTAAGCAAAATAAAGGTTGACACACCAAGGGATAGTAAAACTAAAACACCCAGAGTGAACACTTAGAATGAATATTTAAGCCCTTAAACATCATGGAGGTTTGTTTGCACTGATTTATATGATAACAAATAGAAAATGTATTTAGAGAATTGTTTTTGAATGCTCAATGACAAATTTGAATAAACCCAGCCATCGTGAATCTGCTAAACTTACTATGAATCACTGCAAATGGGACACCAATGCTTTCCTTGACTTTAATACTAAAAGACATGACTCAAATGGTTTATTTGATAATAATTGAAAACCTTGATAATGAGAAAATTTATTTTCTACTGTGAGATATTTTTTATGGAACAAGTACGTTTTCTAAATCCATCATTCAAAGGCTGTTTTCATTCATCACTTTGAAATGTACTTTTTTTTTTAACATTGCTCTTCTTCCTGTGAGAAAAAAATAGAAAAATCTTTAAATTTCCATATGTATTTGTCTACTTTCTGATTGTTTGACCAAATGAAAATATGATGGTTTTATGCCTTTTATTCTATGGGGAGAGGGAAGGTAACTACTTCTATATTATTTCCTTCTTTATTAATATCTGTGTGGTAAAAGAACGTCAAATACACATAATAAATTGGGGAATTCAACCCAGCTGACAAAGAATGTTATTAAAAGAAAACCACCCAAATACATGGTTTTCAGCCAGGAGAACAAAAGATGTGAGGCTTCTTTGGTTGAACCTTCTTCAGCATCACAGCAGTAAGCAGAGTCCTCGTTTTTCTGCCCTCTTGCATTTGCAGAGGGAGTAATGCTATGCGTTGTCAAGAATAGAATAAGCCAGTTCATTCATGAAAACTTTAATGGGAGCCAAATAGAATTTCTATTTTGGCTGAGGACATTGGTGTGAACAACAATGTCAACTATTTATTTCTTGCCTGCTATATGTCTACCATGTCTTTAATTCTGCAATCACCTCTTAAGTCAAACTTTATTATCTTACTAGAGATGAGCAAAACAGGATTCAGAGAGGTTAAAGGACATGCCCTACGAAAAACAGCAACTTCCGAAGCCAGGATTCTAACAAAGAGCTCCATCTAAAAAGATGAGGACTCTTCATTTCCTCCTCAGTGAATGGGATCCTGGGGTTGGAAAAGATAATGTTTCCTAAAACGACTCCCCAATTTAAAGCAAAGCAAATTCAATCAAAAGCCAGAAAAAAAATATAGTATTAACAAGTTTCCTTAAGCATACATAAAACCAATGTTTTTAAAATCACTCTCAAGAGTTAATTAAAAATGGGTAAGACACATTTGCATCTAGTTTGAAGTTCCTTTTTCTAGACACTGACACAAAGTCACTGAATATTTCATTTAACTTTTTAAAGAGATATTTATAAAGTTTTTTAAAATGTTATCACTGATATGATGTGAATTTTTGATAAAAATCAGGAACGATACCTGCCTCTTTGACTGTTATTCTTCACCACAGTGTGAACAAATTGAATACAGCCTTTCAAAATCACCAAGCTTTATTTTAAGCTTACTTCTGAATACATGCTTTGTACTTCCATATTTTGTGTTTGGCTTTTCTGATATACAAATGAGAACTATGATGGTCTTATAAAGCATCCCTTAAAGTTTAATATTAAAGCAGAAAAAACTATAGCATCATAATATTTTATCTAATTAAATGTTAAGTCTGGTTTAAGGGTATAAATATTTTATAAGATTAACCCTTCAGAATCTGGACACACAGAAAGCATGGACACTGTTTGTGACAGATAAGCTATAAAGACTACCATCTTTTGGAGTCAATGATTCTAAAAATGAGATCAGACCTCCAAATGGTTCAAACTTCATTTTTAGTCTAGATTCTTTAATCAATTAATGAAATTAACTAATATAAGCCAAGACTTGTGTTAACTGGAAAGATACTAAATCTTACTTTGTTCCCTTGTATGTATAAGTTAAAATTTAGTTTGCAGATAGCATAACTTGCCTAAGCAAAAACAATTTATTTTTTAAATGCTCTACCTCTTAGAATTTAAGAAACAAAATATGACTGGGCTGGGGGAAAAACAGACACAAGTGCACAAATAATGTCAGAACTCTGTCTTCATCTGAACGTTTCTACTCTTTTTTTCTTCCTCATATCCTCCCTCTCACCCTGCCTCTTCTCGCTCTCATTGAAGACAGTCAATCTTTCTTTTTCTGGTCCATGTGGGAGACTCATGTCGTATAACACCCAAGCTGTTGCTCGTATGGCTACAGTGACTTGAGAAATACCATATTGGAAATCTGAGTCCTAAATGTAGCTTCCTTCAGACTTAGATGTTGCTTCTGAACCAATCAACTGGGTACAGACATACACAGGGTCATGTGTATAAAAAGGATCACAGTGATATTTATGTGAATAGAGATTGTAATCCCAAAATTGGGGAGTAGACTTCAGGGAAGAAAAATCCCAAAATTGTCACTATCCTGTGAATCCAAATCACTGCCCCCAGTTTACAGTGCAGAAGTTATCACATCAACTTATTCTCCCTTCCTCTTCCCCTCCACACCTTAAGGTATATAGGCCAGTGTTGCTTGACTCACTGCACATCAGTCAGTTTAAGATGAACACTGCTTAGTTCAGTTGTTTTCAGAGTTGAGATTCATGGTGCATTCCAACTGTACTTGGCATGAGTTACTGAGTACACTTAGAGAAGCTGCCAAAATGTGCAGAGTGTCTTTGGCAGAAGAAAAAAAACAGATGGTCCCATCAAATGGATCACGTTTCATGGGTACTAAATTAGATTCAAAGAGAAGAGAGTGGTGTCTACCTGGGGAATATGTTTTCAAAGGTTAGATATCTCAGTTATCATAAGCTAAGGCTTAATGCTTCAAAAAGTTGATTAGGAATTTGAGCATATAGGCCACATTCCAGCTATTGAAGTGATGGAGGGAAAGGGTGCTTCCAGAAGACACTCAAGCATGATCAGAAATTACAGCAGAGTTGCTGAGGTCTAGGAAGCAGTGACAAGTTGACAGATCACACTGGCAAAAGTGTTCAGACATGAGCATAGTCAATGTGGCTAACACATCAATATGCATGACCACAAGATGAGAAAACAGAACTTCAAAGGGGCTAAGGTACACAAGCAACATAATAGGTTTCCAATTGACTCTGTAGAGACTTTTGAGCATGAAGAGCTTTTGGAGATTGGTCAGTCTAAATGCATTTTGCAGGTGAGAAACCTGAGGTCAAAAGAGGTAAGCATTTAGTATCAGGTCTCCTGATGCTGGAAACAGTGCTGTTCTATACCTCATTAAACAAGAACTTTGAGTTAATAATCCAAAGAAAAATGATCTACTGGGGAAGACTACCTTCAAATAAATGCAGCCAGGACTGCTTTGTTTAATAACAGCTTGTTTCAGGCAACCTTTCTGTTTTAGTAATGAATGTGATGAGAGTCATTCAAGAGTCATCAATAGGGGAGTGTGAGTTGTCAATCCTGGGATAGGACTCGGCCAAAAATTCAATTTATGGTTTAATGAACTTGATAAACACCCATGTGTGGGTAGCCACTTAATAAGAAACAGTGAACTTGGTATTAAGGGACAGATCTAACACATATCTCGTAATGCTAAACTGACACATGGGATGGGGCAGGGATAACTGTGGGAATCGTGCTTTCTTCTTGCATAGCATAGAGTTGCCCTAGAAAGCAACTGCCCAGCCAGAGTCTATGTTCCCCAGTAGTCCTTGCGCTAGGTCCAGAATGACAATAGAAGTGATAAATATGGTGCGTGCAACCCATGGTGCTTAAGAAACAGTCATTCTGAGCAAACTATCGCAAGGACAGAAAACCAAACACCGCATGTTCTCACTCATAGGTGGGAATCGAACAATGAGAACACTTGGACACAGGGTGGGGAACATCACACACCGGGGCCTGTCCTGGGGCGGGGGAGAGGGGAGGGATAGCAATAGGAGATATACCTAATGTAAATGACGAGTTAATGGGTGCAGCACACCAACATGGCACATGTATACATATGTAACAAACGTGCACGTTGTGCACATGGACCCTAGAACTTAAAGTATAATAAAAAAAAAAAAAAAGAAAAGAAAAAGAAACTGTGTGCATTTTCCATGCTGTTTCCCCACTGTCTATTAGCTGGAAGCAGAGAATTCTCAGACCTTGTTCATGAATGACAGAGCCACAAATGGGAAGGAACACAGGTCCCTACACCACAGCTTGGAGGAAAGATTTCCAAAGTTCAGGAACATCCAGATTACATGGTTACTTGAGGAAGAAATAGGTTGAAGTCCTGAAAGTTTGGGAGTTAATTCGTTAAAGCTGCTAATGAACCTAATTAATATAATAGACTATTTCCTTGTATCCATGTAGACTCCATGTTGGGGGCATCTGAAAATCCATGATAATAGACCATGCTCCCAAAGGGGTCTGTTTAAGTGGAGAAGATCTGATAGAAATTCATAATACATAGAAATTACCAGTCTGAGCATCTTTCTATCATAGTTCCTCCAGCATTGCTTCAGCATTCAGTCTCTCTGCTCTGTCTCTTTGCATATCAGAAGACAAAGTTGTACACTAAAATTTGACTTATAATTTGATTCCATGACTCGACTCAAAGAATAGTATGAGAGAAATTTCCAAAGAACTGCTGGCAATTGCATAAGCTGCTATTTCTGACATAATTCTCTAACCATTGCCTTTAGGGCCAATGCATCCTAATTTGTTAATGCCAACAAGAAAATCTCAGAGATGACCAAGATACTGAAATAGCCCAACAAGTGAGAGACAGCCTCAAGGGGTATTCATATAGTAAAAGATACACAGAATATCAGATCAGGAGAGGGCCCTAATAAGCATCCAATAATCGTGCTCCACTCCTTCAATTTACATAAGATTGGCTTTATTTTTTAATGTCACTCAGAACAAATGACTTACATTCTGAGATTCCTGACTTAGAGTTTTTTCACTAAGAAACACTATATTCACTTCGAACTCATCACAAATCCATACTTCTCTTTAGTGATCGCTTTTCTTTGTCTTAAATTATATCAACAATTGACTTAGGTACACAGGGAACATGTTCTAACGATATGAGATTCATATAGCAATGTTAACATCTTACAATCATCAAAACTATTATAGGGAAGTATAGCAATACTTGCCACCAAATATCCCTGTGAATAGCACAACAACATGATTTTATTAACCATATTTTAACCATGAAAAAAATCAAAGGTAACACAAATGTTGGAGGAACTTCTGCCAGTTCCTTCTAATATGCACTGACATATGAAGTGATTTGCATAAGATAATTCTACAAGGGTAGAATTGGTATTTACAACAGAATTCTTGCCCTTGACATACTTTCTTAGAATTAAGAGATTCTAGGTAGTTGCAATGTAATATCATTCAGTAGATTGTTTTTCAAATAAGAGTACGTTTGAGAATTGATAATGTCATCTTTTCCATTAAAGGCTCATAATTGTAGGAAAAAAACAGCCAATAGTTATTTTATTTCGGGTCAATTCAAGTTCTTAAAAAACTTGAAGTAAAATATATCAAGTTACTAACATGATACAAGGAGAACTGAGAGTTGTGTCTTCATCCAAATGGCTTTTTCAATCATTTTTAATAAAGATTAAACAAAAATGACCATGATGCTAATGCATTAACACCTGGAGAATTTTTATTTTTGAAGTAAAATCAGTGAATCATATGCTAGATATTTTGATTTTGATTTTATGCATATAGATATTTTATATCCAGATGTTTTATATCTAGATATTTTATATCTACAGATATAAAGATATTTTGATTGTGTCATTACATGACACCTCTTAGGACATAACCACATATGTGGCAGAAATTCCTCCCTCCACTGGAAAAATACTGGAAGAGCATGAAGAATTGCAATCTGCTATTGATTATTAAAATGACAGGAGGGTCTTTCTCTGCCAGGAGAAACCGTGAAAATAGGAGACCAATGGGCAGAATGGAGAGGAAACTCTCAGAAATGGAAATGACAAAAGACACAAGTCTTCCTTCTCCTCTATACAAATAAAGGAAGAAAGAAGATATTTAGACAAAAGGAATGATTAATTCACACTGCCTACTGTGGCAGCCAAATGACCCATAAGAAAAGCCCCTCAGCCATAGAGTTGAAGGTAGATGAAGCCACTGTACACCAAAAATTTGTAGAGCTCTGTGTGTATATGTGTGATTATGTGCTGTGATTCTTAATACAGGCTAAGAAGTGGCTGGATAACCCTATGCTCCATCCTAAAAATCACCCTTTAGGATTGCACATAGAAAAATGCAATGAAATAGCATTCAACCTTAAAAGAGGAGATTCTACCATTTACCACAATGCGGATGAACTTGGAGGACGTTATGCTAAGTGAAGTAAGCCAGACATAGGGGGAAAAAGTACTGTGTGATCTCATTTGTATGCAGAATCTAAAACAGGTTGAATAAATAGAAACAGTAGAATTGTGGATACTGGGAATGAGGGGAAGGAAATGAGATGTAGGCCAAAGGGTACAAATTTGCAGTTGTGAGAATGAATAAATCTAGAGATCCAACCCAAAACATGAAGACTATAGTTGATAACATTGTATACTGAAAATTTGCTATGATTTTAGGTTCTCTTATCACAAAAGGTAACTACAGAAGGTGATAGATTGGTTTGTTTGACTTTCATAATTTCACTGTGAATATATCAAAATATATTGTATACCTTAAATATATACAATAAATACATTTTTAGAATAATGCTCTTTAAATAGCAAGATGAAAAAACAACAAAGAATTTTAGCTGGGCACTGAGGTATATGCCTGTTATCCAAACAATCTTGGAAGGCTGAGGCAGGAGGATTGTTTCAGCCCAGCATTTTGAGCCTGGGCCACATAAAAATTAAAATATATATGTAATAATGCAAATCAAATTTTCATAAATCATCCAAAGAACTCTAGACTTACAAGTTCTCATCCTAAAAATTTCTAAATTTTTGTCCAAAAATATGAAACATAATTTTACCTATAACAAAAAGATACAGTAAGATATAAAATGTAAATATCTGTGAATAAATCACTTAATCTTCAAGGAAATCTCTCATCCATTTCTGGATCCAATCATCTTTTCAGAAATCTATGTTAAATAGTGAAACAAAATTAAGGATGTTATCACATTGTTATTTAAGTAATAGTAGCAATCAGAAACAGATATAATGGAAGAGTTACTAGTATAGTATATACATTATAAATCTAATTTTGGTATTTAAAATTTAAGTTATATACACGTGGTTAAAAAAATCAGTTTTTAAAAAGGGGGTTCCTCAGTTAAAAGTTTATTTAATCTCTACTCTGACTTTTCAGTTATTCGCTCTAAAGGCAACTAAATTTATCATTCTAGAGATATTTTTTATATGCCAGAATGTATGTATCCATATCCACCTTTTGAATTTCACACAAATGGTGGCATACTATTCATACTGGCTATTCTATGATTGCCTTTTGCTCTTAACTATATGCCTCATAAATCATTCAATATAAAGACACATAGGTATTGCTCATTCCTCTATCTTCTTGACACAAAGAAAATATGGAAAACTTCTTGGCATAAGGAAAACTAAAATCAGAAGTTCATCGAGTTATTTAAACCTGATGAACTTTCAGAAACTGAATATTCCTGTGTATCTACCACATAGATCAAGAACCAGAACATCACAGCAACTCAGCCACCCTCTTGGGGCTTCCTCCAGTCACCACTCACAAAGGGTGACTGCCATTGTGACTTCAAATACCTTTCCTGAATTTTGTCTGTGTTAAAACTTTATAGAATTGGCCCGGAACGGTGGCTCACGCCTGTAATCCCAGCACTTTGGGAGGCCGAGGCAGGCAGATTACAAGGTCAGGAGATCGAGACCATCCTGGCTAACACAGTGAAACCCCGTCTCTACTAAAAATACAAAAAATTAGCCAGGCGTGGTAGCGGGCGCCTGTAGTCCCAGCTACTCAGGAGGCTGAGGCAGGAGAATGGCGTGAACCCGGGAGACGGAGCTTGCAGTGAGCCGAGATTATGCCACTGCGCTCCAGCCTGGGCGACAGAGCGAAACTCCGTCTCCAAAAAAAAAAAAAAAAAAAAATACAACTTTATGGAATTAAATCACATAGTATATCCATTAGGTACTGCCACAATAATGCTGCATAATAAGTCATGCCAAAATTGAGTGGCTTAGGAAAACAATTATTCCTACTTATGCTCAGTGTGGAGCTGCATTTCAGATTTAAGGTATTTTTCTTCATTTTTTATCATGATAGCATCGGTTATACCAGGGTTCAACAACATGGTATGACAGAAACAGGCAGTAGGCCATATTTTCCCAGCCTCTGGATATATTAACGTTGTACATGACCCCAAAATCTCAGTGGCTTAACACAACTAAAGTTTTACTTCTTGCTCACAGGGGCATGACCAACACAGGTTATTTGGGGCAGGAATAGACATACATCAACACTTTGATAATGACCATGGCAATGGGGGCAAATGTAGATGCTAACACACTGGCTAACAGTTACCACCGAGAAGTGATGAATGTGACTTTGCCCTTTTACTGGCCAAAGCCCTTCAAATAGACTTAGCCTCATTTCGAAAAGGGCAGGGAAATGCAATCCATTTCTGTGCCTAGATGGAGAGGAGATCTAGAATATTGGTGAATGTACTCATAACTATAGTTGTTGCTGTATCTGGACCATATGTGGTCAGGTACCCTGAGGAGCCTCCACACTGTGTGTCTGCTAATATAACAGATCATCACAGATTTGGGGTATGCAAGTATTGATATGGTGACTATAATTGATACAGTAAATTATTTTCAAAATTCAGGGGTAAAGGGAACCAAAGCCACATGTTTTTACATGGGAACAGTAGAAGTGCACATGTACTGTCTTTCCTCTAGGCTGTGTCAGTTCTCCTGTTCTTTGTCACAACGTATTCTGTAAAGACTTGGATCATCTTGTCATTCTGAAAACTACCGTGTTTAGCCACCATATTAATCATATATTAAAATGCTCTAGTGAGCAGAAAGTGGCAAGTATTCTTGATACCCTGAAAAGGTACATAACATGCCAGAGGGCACTATGTACTCTACAAAATTAAAATTCAGACACCTGCCACTTTCGTAATGTTCACAAGATTTCATTAATCTGGAGCATGCTGTGGTACTCTATTCTATCTAAGGGAAAGGGTTATTGAACCATACATTCCCTACCACTAAGAGAAACATGGCCACAGGCTTAGTAGTTTTATCTGTATTTTGGAGGTAGCATAAACCATTTTTGCACAAAGTGCCCTGATCATTTATGAAGTGACTCAGAGGCTGCCGGTTTTAAGGGCAAAGAATGAGAGAGAACTTTGTCACAGGTCCAGACTGTATGACCTGGCAGATCCAATGGGGCTAGAGGGATCTATGGTGGATAATGTACTAACATAAAGCCTCTGGTCATCCCCAGTAAATGAGGCACTGCAAAGAACACAAGAGTTCTGAAGCAAGGTACTGTCTGGGGTTTGAAAAGCAACTTCTGGCATGCTACCCAGCCCTAGCAGAGAGCAAGTGCCTAACCACTGGAACTACATAATGAGTTGAGTATAGTCAGATTCACCAAGTTACAAAGTTGGACAGGTGCAGTCACAATCCATCATATGATGTGAGTTGTACATTAAGAATTTGTCCTGAGCATTTCCAGATGGCCCTCAAAATTACAAGAACAGATGCCTCAGATCTCCATATTGCCAACATTTTTTGTGTTGATGGGTGTCCCACACACAAGTAGAGCCTCCTTGGCCATTCTCTAAAACCGCCTAACAATGAACCAAAAAGAAAATAAAAGTCTTCCTCTGGAAGTAGGTTAGCTCAGCATGTTGGCAAAGACAGAATTGGTCTGATGCTGTACTACAGCCCTACTCGGGAATGACCTCAAAGAACAATGAGGAGAAGAAAATCAGTTTGTAGAGCCACAAGCAGTAGACAGACTCAGTCATGTTTTTTGTATGGAGAGAAAAATAACCTGAGGTAAGAAGATGCATGCATTTCTGGGCAGTAGCAATGATTTGCTTTTTTCATGAATAAGGACCTGGTAATACCCACACTGAAAGATTGGAAATGAAGAGGAGGAAAATAGAGGGAAGACCCAAGAGTGTAGGCATAATCAATATGTATCAGTAAAGGAGGCCTTCAACAGCTAGGTAGACAGGATGCATTTAGGGGCAAATGGCAGGCAGACTCTATCCTGTCTTCCACAGTGGCCCCATAAATGGAGTAGTTATGATGAGAGAAGTGGTGGTTATGAATAAGCCAGATACCCCCAATTTCTTCATGCAGAGACTCAGCTACCTACTGTTACTCCTGAATGTTCAGCCCTGTCAGTAGCAGAGCCCAGATCTGAGGTCTCAACATATAACATTGTGCAAAGAGGACAGTCCGTCACCTTGTGGAAAATCTAATACATCCGAATGTCTTCGATCCCAGAGGGGCAGCGATTCATTCATGCCAGAACTAACACTCAGGATATGAGTCTGCCTTACATACCCTGTTCCCCTGCAAGCACCACCCTCAGATGAATTACAGAATGCTCAATTTACTGACATAAAATGCCACAGAACATAACTTTGAATTAAATGACCCATTTTATTGCATACTTGCTGTGACAATGGATGCCAGATTTCATGGATGGATCTGTTTTTAAGTGTTCTGTTTTGTTCCACTGATCAATTTCTTTATCCCTAGGCCAATAACACACTATCTATTGCTTAATAATAGGTTTTGATACCTGGTAGAGCAACTCATGCACATAAACACGTTGTGTTATTAGAATTTTTGTGGCAAATTTTGGTCTAGTGTATTCTATATAAGAATGAGAATCAACTTAGAAAGACTTTTTGAATTTTATTGACATGTCATTGAATCTATAAATATGTTTGAGTAAGAATTAAATATAATATGAGCCTTACAATTCATGAATATGATATCTCTTTTTAGTTAAATCATTTTTTAAAGCTTTCAACAAAATTATCTGGTTTTCTCCAGTCTTGTCTTGCACAATTTTTGTGAGATTTTTCTTGTAACTTTATTGTCTTTGTAAATGGCATACATATTTTTGTAATTTTTGTTTCTCATTTGTTCATGTAAAGAAATAGAATTTTGTCCTTGCAAACCAAACACCGCATGTTCTCACTCATAGGTGGGAATTGAACAATGAGAACACATGGACACAGGAAGGGGAACATCACACACCGGGGCCTGTTGTGGTGTGGGGGGTTGGGGGAGGGATAGCATTAGGAGATATACCTAAGGTTGAATGACGAGTTAATGGGTGTAGCACACCAACATGGCACATGTATACATATCTAACTAACCTGCACGTTGTGCACATGTACCCTAAAACTTGAAAGTATAATAAAAAAAGAAATAGAATTTTATGTGTCAATCCCATAACCAGTTAATTCCCATTCTTATTCACAGTAATTAATAACAGCTGAGATTGGCTTTAAGCTTCTGCTGGTCTCATGATATTAGGGTATTTCTATTTTTTACCATATTCTGGAAAATGCAGAATAATGGGAAACCTTTCCTTCAAAGTTACATAGAATTTACTGACAAAGTCATTTGGGATGGTAATTTTTTGTGATAATTTTTAACACTAATTTTATTTCTATGGTTATTAGGCTATTTAAGCTTGCTATTTCTTCTTCAGCTTTCTATCATTATATTTTTCTAAGAATTTGTTTGGTCCAAGGTTTCTGACTTACTGGCTTCAAGTCATTTATGGGATTCTCCAATAATATGTTAAATCTCCCCTCTTCTAATGACATCCCCTCATGTTTTATGAGAGCTGTTTTTTGTTTTGTTTTGTTTTGTTTTACTTTTTATTTTTTGAGACTGAGTTTTGCTATTGTTGCCCAGGCTGGATTGCAATGGCACAGTCTCGGCTCACCACTACCTCTGCCTCCTGGGTTCAAGCGATTCTCCTGCCTCTGCCTCCCGAGTAGCTGGGATTACAGGCATATGCAACCACTCCCGGCTAATTTTGTATTTTTATTAGAGATGGGGTTTCTTCATGTTGGTCAGGCTGGTCTCAAACTCCCAACCTCAGGTTATCCACTCGCCTTGGCCTCCCAAAGCACTGGGATTACAGGCGTGAGCCACCATGCTCGGCCTGTTTTTTTACTTCTTAAGAAAACTATTAATTTTTTAATATATCTGTGGTATCTTTATTTTCTATTTCATCTGTTTCTAATTTTTATTGCCTTTCTCTACTTCTTTTGGTTGACTAATCTATAAACATTCATGACTCTAAATTTTTCTCAATTTATGTGCCACTATCAATACTTTCAACATGTCTTGATTTATTTCATTTTATTCAATTCTAATTGTAATTCACTCAACTCTGCTTTTATTACGATTTTTTGCTAAAATAATAATTATATGTCCATTTAATTTACAAGCATAGTAAATATGTGGAAATCATTAATCTTGAAATAATAAAATATTTTCTCAATGCAATAAAGAAAAACATAACGGAAACACATTAGAGTATATTAAACCTTTAAGCTTCTTAATGAAAAATTTGTTTATAGGCAGTACTTGAACTACATTAAAACTTGAAATAATATTTACAAATTGAAGTTCTATATTTTTAATATATGAAAGCTCTTATGAGTCAAAAATAACATAAACATGCTAATAGAAATTGTGTAAAACATGAAAAGCTCATACACGAGTATGCATCATGACTTGTATGAAAGAAACCTGTATTACTTAAATCTGGAGTTCAAAATTAAAATAATCTACATTCACTATATTTTATCTATTCAAATTGGTAAAACCTTCTTAAAATATTGAAAATTATATCTGTATTTTAAGTGTAAGTTTAATTTTTCAGAAAGTAAACTCAATAATATACATAATAAATATCAAACCTTGAAAATTATTTAATTTCTAAATCAGTAATTTCTCCTTATAAGTTTTACTTAAGAAATAATAGCAAGTAGCAAAGACTTTATTGGCAAAAATATCTATTACTATATTTAAAAGCATTATGGTGTATACATTTATGTCTAATCATTATTTAAAACAATAAAAGATAAGAATTCTCCACTCTAGGGCTTGAGGTCCTCTTTGAATGATTTCATCATTTATTCACCATGAACCCCACAGTAGTTCTTTTCATTTTTGCTGTAAACTTTGGGGCCTGTTTTATAAGTTGCATACAAGTTTGTAAAGCTGTAAGTTCCCAGCGAATAGAATATTTTTATTGTCTAATGATCCTTTCTAACCTCAATATTTTTTATCTTAAACTGTATTTCTATATAAATATAGCTACCTAATCTTTATTTTGGTTTGCGTTTACCTCTTTTTCCATTCTTTGACATTCTTTGACATTCAATTTTGCCGTATTTTACATTTACCACTTCCAGTGGCACAGGGCTGTAACTTTTGAAATTCCTTTGAGAAGTATTTTTACCAGTAACTTCTTTCACATTTATTGAAATTATTGTCATTTTGGAATTCCTTTCATTATATCTCTTTTAAATTTATCTTTGCTCTGCCTTTCAAGGAAGAATAGGATATTGGTTCCAAAATGGATTTCGTAACCAAACTGCCTAAGTTTGAATCTGCTACTAAGTGAAGTAGCTTTTTGACATTGTGTGTCACACTTTCCTTCTCTATAAAATTCGGGTAATAGTGAAGCCATGAAGTTGTGGGAAGGATTCAAATCATTATACATATGAGCCGATTAACCTGTTGGGGGATGGTTGTAAGAATCACTATGTGAATGTCCCTAACAACTATAATTCTTTCTCTTTTATTATATTTTCATTTTATCTATTTTATTTTTAATATTTTTCTCTCTTCTGATTTGATATTTAAGCTTCTTCTTTTCTGTTAGTGGCTACTCTTGAAATTTTTCCATTAACGTATAACCTCACAAGGGTCAGAACCATAGGAGAGCCTTTCTAGAAAACAAGACTCAAAGACTTTAACTCAGATCATCTTTCCCCTGACATACATGCTGTTTTTCTCTAACATTTCAGTTCTCTTTTTTCATGAAAACTTCACAAATTAGATATTTATAACATTTTACAGAGACAAAATTTAAACCTACATACTTGTTTAGAATATCCTTTGTGTTTTTGTGTTAATATTCCATTTTCTTCCAGCTTACATTGTTGTATTTAGTATATATCCAGTTATTCCCATTGTCCTTCTTTCATAGGTGTTCTGGTTTCTCTAATTTTCACTTTTATTATAAACTTTACACACAAAATATAAAATGATGTGCATAGATTTCAGTGTGCAGCTCAGTGAGCGCTGACAAATACACACATCCACGTAACAAGCAGCCCCAGTGCTTCTTTCCCCTGAAAGTTTCCTTTTCACCTTGGCATGGTCCAGTCTCCTCACTCCAACTCCTCTTACCGTTGCTCTAATCTCTATTAGCATAGATTAGTTTCGCCTGTTACAGAGCTCTATGTATTATTTTATATCTGGCTCCTTTTATTAAATACAATACCTACAAAATATCTGTTCTTGTGTATATCATCAGTTTGATTATTTTTATTTCTACATACTTACTCCATTGTATGAATCACCAGAATTTGTTTCTTCATCCACTTGTTAACATATTCTTATTTCTAGTTCTTGGCTATTGTGGATAAGTTAATTATGAGTATCATCTACAATTCTTTGGGTAATAAGTGTTTTCATTTCTCTTGAGTAAATTCCTGGGTGTTGAATTGAGGAGAAATAGGGTGGATATCTTTGTTTGTAAGAAAACTTAATGCTGTACATTTTTTTCTTACAATGACCATGCCAGTCTTTATTATAGTCAACATGGTGTCATTACAGATAGCCTCATAATGTTAATTAGGGAAGTGTCCTCTGCTACTTTGAAAACAGTTTGTGTGAAAATGGACATGATTCATTTGTTAGGATGCATCAGTGTATCTGGGCTTTTGTTTGCAGGAAAGTATATTATTACAAATCTGTTTAATAAGTAAATAGTTTTCTGGTATTCTGTATCTTCTGGTGTCGATTTTGGTAAACTGAGTTTTTAAGAAACGTGTATTTTCATCTAATTTGTTGCTGACATTGACTTGTAGATAATATTTCCTTATTCTTACATGATGAGAGGATATGTAGTGATGTAGCCTCTTTTTTTTCTGACGATGTAATTTTTTTCTTTTTTTCTCATTAGTCTTGAAATGTATTAACACTCATTATATTGCCAGCATATGGTATATCTGGGGCAATTTCACATGCACTTGGGAAAAAAACGTGTTTTCTGCAGTTGCTGGGTATAATGTTCTGAGGTCAGATTTTCTATATCCTTATTGATTTCTTGTCTCCTTTTTCAATTCATTTCTGAGAGAAGAGTCAAAATCTACAACTCCAAGTTGGAATTTCTTCTACTTCTCTCTTTAGTTCTGCCAGATTCGCTCATATTTTTCAAGACAGTTATTAGCCACAGACACATGGAGGATTGTTACATTTCTCTGTTGATTTTGCTCTTTTAGCATGAAATGTTCTTTTTCTTTTTTTTTTCTTTTTTTTTTTTTTTGAGACGGAGTCTCGCTCTGTCGCCCAGGCCGGACTGCGGACTGCAGTGGCGCAATCTCGGCTCACTGCAAGCTCCGCCTCCCGGGTTCACGCCATTCTCCTGCCTCAGCCTCCAGAGTAGCGGGGCCACAGGCACCGACCACCACGCCTGGCTAATTTTTTGTATTTTTAGTAGAGACGGGGTTTCACCTTGTTAGCCAGGATGGTCTCGATCTCCTGACCTCATGATCCACCCGCCTCGGCCTCCCAAAGTGCTGGGATTACAGGCGTGAGCCACCGCGCCCGGCCGTTCTTTTTCATCTCTCATGCTTCTTATCTTGAAATCCACTTAGTCTGATATACATGTATCCTTCTGTGACTTCCATGTGCTTAATGTGTACATGATGTACTTTTGTCATACTTTTACTTTAAACCTAGTTGTGTCTTTATATTTTATTTTTGTTTTCCTCTAACAGTTTTATTTTTTGATATATAATTAATGTACATATTTTGGGATACATGAGATAATTTGATACATGTATATGATATGCAAAGACTGAATTTGGATTTTTTTTTTTTTTGAGACGGAGTCTCACTCTGTTGTCCAGGCTGGAGTGCAGTGGCCCGATCTCAGCTCACTGTAAGCTCCACCTCCCAGGTTCACGCCATTCTCCTGCCTCAGCCTCCAGAGTAGCGGGGCCACAGGCACCGACCACCACGCCTGGCTAATTTTTTGTATTTTTAGTAGAGACAGGGCTTCACCGTGTTAGCCAGAATGGTCTCAATCTCCTGACCTCGTGATCTACCTGCCTCAGCCTCCCAGAGTGCTGGGATTACAGGCGTGAGCCACCGTGCCTGGCCTGAATTTGGATATTTAGGATATCCATCACTGTCAGTATTTACCTTTTCTTTATGCTAGGAACATTTGAATTATTCTTTTATGGTTACTTTGAAAGGTACAATAGATATATGTTAACGATAGTCACCTTGCTGATTTATCAAATAGTAGGTCTTACTCTTTCTGTCTAACTATTTGTGTCTATGAATCAACCCCTCTTCAACCTCCTTCCCCACTACACTTCCCAGCCTCTGGTAACCACCAGTCTATTCTCTATCTTCACGAAATCCCCTCTTCTAACTCCCGTATATGAGTGAGAACATGCAATATTTGTGTGTCTGTGCTTGGCTTATCTCATTAACATAATGACCTCTGTTTCCATCCATGTTGCTGCAGTTGACAGGATTTTATTTTTTATATCTGAATAATACTTCATTGTGTATATAGATACCATATTTTCTTTATCCATTCATCCATTAGTGGTTGCTTAGGTTGATTCTATATATTGTGAATAGTGCTGCAATAAACATTGGAGTGCAGATAGCTCTCCAATACATTGAGTTCTTTTCTATCTGTCTGTCTATCTATCTGTCTGTCTATACACCTATACACACACAGTAGTGGAATTGCTGGATCATATGGTAGTATCTTCATATTTTAAAGTGAACCTCTGTAGATTGCATTTTGTTGAGTCTCACTTTATTACAAAGTCTGATAATCTGCATTTTAATTGGAGTGTTTGGTGCATTTACATTTATTGCAGTTATTGATATATTTGGGTTTATATATACCATATTTCTGCTTGTTTTCTATCCTATCTCTTGTCATATTGTTTCTCTTTTTCAGTCTTCTTTTTGGATTAAATAAATAGATATTTCTCTTCTTGCCTATTCTCATGTCTAGGGAATAAGCAAGAATGCTGGTTTTTGTAAATGATCAATTGTTGTTAAGTCTGGATTAATGTCTTTTTTAGAACACTGAATTTTGTTTTAATGGGATGCAAATTTGCTAGCATCTCTACCGTATTTTGTTGAGGCTTCATTTTAGGTTTCCTTAAGGAAGGTTACGTAACTTTCAGATACAGTTTTTGCTCCTAAGGTGTGACCTTGCTGGTATATCAGCTGGATGCCCAGGTATTAACTTAACAATGCCCTTCCATTCTAACTGGGCCACAGTACTACATCTACCACAGCTATGCAATATCAGCTCCACTCTGAACCTTGCACTTTGTGCTAGGCAATGCAGAATCCCACCCTGGCCTTAAGGACTTTTGAGAAACGCAGACAGATACTTAGGAGTCCCTCTGTCCACTATGTTCTCCTTTCTGGTAATCTGCCATGCAAAGTTCAGCTGTTTCAGTAGCCTCGAACTCTCTGCCTCCTCATTAGCGACTCCGTAAAGCTCTGTTTTAGCTTTGCTTCCCTCTGCTGCATTTTGGGACTTCTCCCTGGAGAGCTATGGTGAGTAGGGGGTCATTTCATGCGTTTCCCCTCTCTCACGGATGAGAGTTCTCAGCTGCTTATGATCCAAGGCTTGTACACGGTTGATTTGTATTTTTTACCTGGTTTTATTGTTCATGTCAGGAATGTAAGTCCCACACTACGTTACTGGGTCATGGCTAGAAGTAGAAGCCTGCTTTCCTTTTTCTGTCTTCATTACGTTTCATTGTAAAATTATTTTTGTTGATTTGCTTTAAAGTATGCTGTGCTTCCTAAAGCTGTGGCTTCATATTTCTTATCAAGAAATAGCTGAAAATTTTTTACATACTATTCCCCCAAATATTATATTTTATAAAGGATCCTTACTGTACAGTTGAAGCAATAAATTTTAGATGCAGACTCTATGAGTTGTAATGTATAATAATTTGATTAATTTTACTTTGCATTTATGGATTAATTCTCTATAACATTGTTTAACTCATATATTCCCATTCTATATTATATATTTTGTTAACATTTTATAATTTTGTCCAAAAAGATCTTGCACATCTTTTATTAAATTTATTTTTCATGGTTTTGTTACTGGCATATAGAGGCTTTTGTTTTCTCTTACATTCTATGGGTATTGCTGAGGTATAAGAATATTCTTGATTTTTATATATTTATTTTGTATCAGTAACTTTGATCTCCTCTGAGTTATATGTAGGGTCTTGAGTATTCTATATAGATAAGTGTATCATCCAAAGAAGACAAATGAATGAGTTTGCCTCTACTGTCTCAAAATATATATTGTTTACTGTTAACTCTTGTCTCCAAAACAATGTTGGATAACAAAGATAACAGAAATCACTCTTACCTTGTTTCTGATTGTAATGAGAATGCTTCTGAGTTTCAACATTAAATATGATGCCCTTCATAAGCTCTAGCTGGATGACGTTAACTGTGTTAAGCAATGTTATTCTATCAACATTTAAGAAATTATGAGTTAGCTAAAAGTTTGTTTCGATAACTCTGTTCTAGGGACTAGAGTTACAACTGTTAACTCACTGGAGGAAAGGTGCTCACCTCTTTCTTCCCTTCGAGTGTGGCTGTTTCATCTATTCCCATTTTTCTAGTCTCTTCCTCAGGAGTTTCTTCTCCCTTCCAGGCTGCTACACAGATGTCACTTCCCCTTGGAAACCATCCCTCAAGCCTCATTTGGGAACATGCTTTGCCTTCACATCTCATGCTACGCTTTCCCTCTCCTTCTACTCATCATGCACTATGGCAATTGTCTGTTAACTTGTCTGTGTCCCCAGTAGTCTGAGAGCCACAGTAAGTCCTGTTGCCAGTTGTATCTCTGGTGACAAGGACAGTGCCTAACTGAAATTAACTGCTTCATATTGTCTAATTGATTACTCAATTGCTTACTATGCCTTTTTATTTATTTTTAGGTCTGTAGTGGAGTGTTTGATTATATTTATTTATTTATTATTTATTTATTTATTTTCTTTTTTGAGATGGAGTTTCACTCTTGTTGCCCAGGCTGGAGTGCAATGGCACAATCTTGGCTCACTGCAACCTCTAACTCCCAGGTTCAAGCGATTCTCCTGCCTCAAGCTCCCGAATAGCTGGGATTACAGGCACCCACCACCACGCCCGGCTAGTTTTTCTATTTTTAGTAGAGATGGGGTTTCACCATGTTGGCCAGGCTGATCTCGAACTCCTGACCTGAGATGATGCGCCTGCCTTGGCCTCCCAAAGTGCTGGGACTACAGACGTGAGCCACCGCGCCCGGCCACGTTTGATTATCTTTCAGGCTAAAATTATAATCACCTTGAGCTTTGATAAAAATTGGGTCCTTTTAAGACCAAAATCAGACCCATTGTATGTAAAATATAAATGTGTGTGCCAAACATTGTTTACCATACCATTCTGGTACCTCTCTGTGAGAACGCAGAGAAATTCCTCTGTAATTTCTCATGTCAAAGAGCTATAATTCTCCTAAACAAGTGGTTTGTTTTCATCTTCTAGATATTTTGATGCATGCAGCTAATGATATTTTCTATTTCACATTGTTTGGGAAGCTATAGAACCAAAGCTTAGCTTACTTCTATCAAGGGTATTCAACATTAGAGTATGATGTTGTATATTAATTTAATTCCTGCTTGTCTTCTGCTTTTATATTCTTATTTTTTCCCTCTTCCCCCAAAATTATATTTTCTATTGTCAAATCATATTTCCCTGTACACTACCCTAAATCCTGTTGCCACCAAGCAAGGTAAAATATTTTCAGGGTAATATGTTATTGAAATAATCTCACCACTTCAATCTATTTTAAATGCTGCTGGAAGGTTTGTCTTTCAACAATATGTATAAAGATGTCGTGCTTCTGCTTAAAATACCTTAGTGGCCTCCCATTGCTTCTAGGGTGAAACACAGATTCCTCAGGAAGCTGCACGTGAGTCTTCATGGCGCTTTTCTGAGTGCAGAATTGAAAAGTTCATTTAAGCACATCAAGTCTGCATTTTGACTAAACGACTTGGAAAATGAAACAGTTTTTTTTATGATAATATACCGGCTTACCTTCTCATCAAAATTCTAGAGTGAAGCATTTTCTTTTCTTTTTAGTAGAGATGGGGTTTCACTATGTTGGCCAGGCTAGTCTCGAACTCCTGACCTCATGATCTGCGTGCCTCGGCCTCCCAAAGTGCTGGGATTACAGGCATGAGCCACCACGCCCGGCTGCCTGAGTGAAGTATTTTCACAACAACAAGCTTGCAAAAATTTCGTTTCGTTTCTATTTTGTTTTTGTTTTTCCCACAGTAGAGTATATTGAACTCTAGCAAAAAAAAGATAATGTTAGAAAGTTTATGTAATGTTGTGGAAAATGGAAGGAGAACAAGAGGGGGCCTAACAATATATTCTATCAACTGTTCAACTTTTGTCTAAATGAACTGTATAACAAACTGGTATATAAGCCCCTGAATGGATAATAAAATTAACTCAGTGTCCAGGAAAACTGTACCCGCAATTCCCACGTTTGAAGTGGCTTTAAGTTAAATCAAAGTGGTAAATTGTTTCAGAAAAATATTGGAAGATTATTTTCAGGATTCAAATATAATCTCTCCCCACCTATCATCTCCTCTTGATTTTCTTTCTAGATCTAAAAGAGAGAAATTCAATAAATTCTGGTAAGTACAGAAAATCATGGTTTAGGGCCAAAACACTGCCCTAAAAAAGACTTTCTCACCAATGGCTTAAAAAGAAGTTCTGAGTTTTGGAATGAAATGCTACTTCTTTGCTAAAATGCCAAAATAGCAAGTCATTTAATTCTGCCTTACTAACAATATCAGAAAACAGAAGCTACGTCAGTGAGCATTTTGCAGAGCATCTGTGGGCTAGGAGGGCTACACTTCCTTATAAATTGTTTGCTAAAGATTCAAATTTGAGAAAACTCAGAAGCAACTACTAAAAGTCAAGTCCTGAAATGAGGAAAGAATATTGCCAGTTCAGACCAGTATTGACAGTTACGTAGGTCACCATTCGAAGTGATAACGTACATGTACATGTGTCTGATTCCTGGAAAGTTTAAAGTACATTATAGTGTCATTTATATTCCTATACTTAGTGATCCAGCGAGCATTTACTCAGCCTATTTATTAGGTATGCCATTAAATCTCCTTTAAAATTATACACATACATAGTCCCTGCCAAGTTGAATGCCACACATTAGTAAGAGATACTTATGTATTATGCACAGCTATGTATGTTGTCTTACCTATCATATCATGGTGTTCTCTATATAAAATAGAATGGTTTGTCATATGAAATCTAAAATGCAATTGTATACATTACAAATAGATTGTCAACTCTTTTAAGATAGGAAGCTGGAAGTCAGTTTAGAATCCTTTACTACCTATGTAAAACCTAAATTAAACTACATGGCCAGGTAGGACCACAATAAGATCGTTAATAAGTCCTTATTACATTTAATTGTGTGGTGGTTAATGCCGTGACATTTTGCCTTTCACAATTCACGTTTTCACCAGTGCTATCTGGCAACTGCCCCTACCATTACAATAAAAATCACTTTAGTAATAGCTTTCTACTAGTTAATTCCTACTGATATTTTCCATTCTATTCTGGCCAGATTATAAATATTTGAAATCCGTGCAGCATTTGATGCCCTGGTCTAGTCCAGATCATTTTTGCTTGAATTATTTGATCTCACTTTGTTCCACATTTCTTCTTACCTCTCAAGTCACTTAATCTCTCACCTGAGCTTCCTCTTTGCTGTTCCTGGGATTCTGCTCTATTTCTTGACGCTCTCTTGAAGAGCTCATTATTCTGTGGTTTCTGTTGTACTCCCATGACTCTGATCATCATTGCTTCTCCACTGGTAACTTCTCTGAATGCTGGACCCAAATATCCCATCTCCTGCACTTTGTCCAACAGTGTTCTCAGGTGGATTTGTTACAAACTGACCTCCTCATCACTCACTACTCCCAATCGCCAACCCCTTTCCCATCTCCCACAGGGAGTGTACTGCTCTCCACTTTGTTACCCAAGTGAGAAGTCACCCCCTTCTCTGAGCGCTGAATGTGTTCTACTGATCCATCTCATCACCCCTGTGCCGTCCTTTTCTCACCTCAATATTGCAATTCCTTGAGCTTTCATCTTTGCTTAAACGTTCTCAAAGTCAAATCTCTTATCAGCTGACTTGTAAGAAAACTTCGCTTATTTCCAATATGCACTTCCAAATTCTTGCATCCAGTTTGGCCAGGTAGTGGGCGTGTCTGTAAAATGCTCTAGTTTTTACATGTCTCTCTAAGTCAGGGTTTTCTGTTTATACTTTCTGTGGCATGCCATGTTCTCGGTTTACATTCTGTATGTTTTCTGTGCCTTTTAGCAGAGCAGGGTGCACTTTTAGTTTAGAAATAGAAATTAATAAAATGCCATGAAACTTCAGGTATCACATAGACCCAGCATCAATGGTACAGGGACATTGATTCTCCGTGTGGGCCATTCGCACGTGAGCTACCTTGTATTTCGGAATTGAGTTCAGTTGAAAAACATAGTTCATCTGCGGTGCGTTTTCCTGTCTGTGTAAGAATACGACAGTAAGATGGAAATGGCCTGCTGAGGTCTAAGGCCTCCTCATGGTCTTTCTTCTGTCTTAGGCCAAATATCAGGGTCTGTTTTGATCTCTTTGCGATCTAAATACCCAGATAATATCACCCACAATTCTTTACCTACGTGGTCACAAAGAAATTATTGTGAACATCTCCTTAAAATCAAGAATTCTGTGTCTGTGTATGTTTTAAAAATCAAATTAGACTTTTCATAAACTTCAATTGATTCAATGATGAGGACGTGGTTCCAAACATGAGTAGAAGACCATTTTTATGGCAGCACTGAGAAAATACTTTCTGAATACTCAGATATAAAGGGGTTAATTAATTATGATAGCTAAGCAGTACAACATAAGCAAACAATTTTTTCAAATTCTTTTAAAATGGAAAACTATACATGAGTTATTGTAGTCAATAAGATATCACAGCCACAACATATGATTTATTAGACAGTATGATACTGCCCAAAAGACAAAACAGTAAAATTACACTGAAGACAGTTGACTCATAATGAGGAATACATTTATCAAAAAGTAATAATTTTAATATATGCAAGAAGTTTGAAAATGATATTTAATTATCAGTTATAACTGGAAAGACTAAGATGTATTGATTTGATACAGCTTTTAAAAAATGAATTAGCGTTTCCCACCTCGATATTTTCTCTGAGCATGAAAATTTAAATAGCATATGACAATATGCCAATTCCAAGAAGTTCTTTAAAATATATCTCCAGGAAACTTGTTCAGTGTATTTCTTTAAAACACATCTCCATGATGTGAAAGCCACCTAAATGTGTATCACTCCACAGAATGCCCTAACAATTTAGTGGGATATTTATTTTTGAAGTGGATTTTTTTTCCAGTATGGCTGTGAGATATGTAATATATTGCTTAATCTCTCCAGCACCAAGTAAAATTCTCTGAAATAATAGGTTAAATATCTAGTGGAATCACATGTCTCACACATTTGCTAAAACCTAGTTGACATTAGCCAAACAAAAATGTCCCTTCTCTTAAGTTTAATGTCAGGGTTATTTTATTTTAATTCAAATTAACATTCTCCCATAATCCCAGGACTTTGGGAAGCTGAGGTAGGAAGTTATCTTGCGACCAGTAGTTTGAGACCTGCCTGGGCAACACAGGCCCCTATCTCAACAAAAAATGAAATAAAGAATTAGCAAGCATGGTGGTGTTCACCTGTAGCCCCACCTTCACAGAAGGCTTGAGCCCAGGATTTTGAGGCTGTAGTGAGCCATTATCATGTCACTACACTCCAGCCTGGGTAACAGAGTGAGACTCAGTCTCTTAAAAAATTAATATTTTTCTAACTGAACTCAATAAACATTGATGAACATAAAAGTATTATTTCTTCATTTAAAATAGACATTCAGAATATAAACCAGTATGTGCCACTCTGTATATTTTGATATTCCCTAACATGTTCTAAGTATGTTATGTTCAAAATTATACCAAAGTAACTAATATTGGCAAATTAGTCATATTTGTAGTAAGATATTTTTTAAGTCATTACTTTATTTTCAGGTTTGTTTTTTTTTTTTTTTTTGTCCAGAACTAGTCTTAAAAGAGAAAGGATTGAAAGAATGCCACTTAATTGTAGAATGCTTCAGGAAAATAAAATCTCTCTTCAATTAAATCTTTTGAAATAATCTATGCATAGCACTTTCCAAGCCAAGGCATGGGTTGTTTCGTTGCATCTTATGCTATGACAAAGTCCTATAATTAGCACATTGGTGTAATCTACCACTGTTTCATTAAAGCTGATTGCATAACTATTTGGGAAGTTAACATGGCTTCTTGAGTACTTGACCTGCCCTTTTTTTTTTTCTATGCTACAGCTGTTAGTAGGAAGTGAGCAAAGGCATTCATTGCTGAACAGTAGTAGAGAAATAATCCTGGTAAAGGTTATAATACAAGACAAAGATGGAGTTTCACTCTGTGCATCTCAGACCTTTCCATTTTTAATTGGTTTGGTTTTTTGATGAGACCTCAAATGACAGAACAAATATTTGACAGCTAAATTTTTACCAATTTAAAAAGTGAACTCATATTTATTTAAATTACATTTTTAATCATTTATCTTTTGAAAGTCTGATTTTTAAAAGTGAAATGCATTAAAGCAGTGCGTCCTTGAATTTAAGAGGTTCTGCAAGTTGTGCAGAAATGGTGAAATCCATTTAAATGGCTTGAGGTAGGGATAAGAGGTAAATAATAGTTTATTTTAAAAAGTAGATTAAGCACAATCATGTTATCAAGAGTAACTCTCTTCTGTGTCTTTGGCCACTGTTGAAGAACTGTGTACAATTATATATTTTACTCCTTAGCAACCCACCCCCAGCTATGGGACATGACACATCAGTCAGCATGGTCCTCTCAAGTTAGGGTAGTCGGATGATCAGAGAAAAATCCAGACTTGCATAGGAGCACCAATGCCATAAACCTTCATAAAAGCAGTGCTTCAGATCAAGAGGCAACTTTATAGATGTTCCCTACTACAACAGTCTTCCGATAGCTTTAATACTGAAGTAGTCGCTAACACACTCGTCTGAAAAGAGCATTTAGAAAAGAACAACAACACACACAAAAAAAACCTTGTTGAAAATTCTGCACAAGCAATTTACATCCTGACAGAAGAAGGATGGGGTTTATTCTCTTTCATAATTCCTCTGCTACACACTCGCAATACCCTGCACGTTAAGTATCAGGTTTTTCTTGCTAAAATTAAAGCGGTTTTCTATAGGAGACACCTTAGGTAAAATTGGCAATGGAGACCAAGTTTATTTCCATTATTTTTAGTTATTTGCACAATACATAAATACGAAAATAAACTTCTTGCATTTCGTTGTGGAGACTTTTTCATTTGAATATTTCATCCTTCCTAGAAGTTTCTGGGGTTGATGGGACCTTCATCCTAGGCCCTCTGTCCCTTAAACTATTCTTAGTATGATGCACCTCCCTGTAGCCCTCCCACCATCCCCAAAAAAAGAAAGAGTCAGAGCAGAAGTGGAAACCTTACTAATCTTGGTATTTCCATCTCTATATTCCCAGAAATTTCAGTGTTTAGGAATTAAAGGAAAAGACAGGAAAGAATGTGTTTTGGAGCAGGAGACAGGAACAGTAAGAAATGCACAAGATGTCACTAAACTGTCATAGTAAAAATAGTGTTAATAATTATAGATGTTTAGAAAAAGAAAAAAAATTACACCCCAAACAGAAATCAAACCCAACATCATGTACTATGGTGTATCAATTAAAATGAATGGGAGTTACATGCAAATACCTCAAATAAAATACCTCAAATAAAAAATGTAGAATACCTTTCCACTGATGATTTTTAGTTGTCAGGACAAGTGAGACCCAAACAGCAGACAGAATGGTCCCAGCATGCTTGTTGCCTTTTTTTGTTTGCACAGTGGCTGTCAGTTCCAGCCTTGCAGGTAGTGGAACCCAGCCGGAAGAAGGGGCGGGACCCAGCATTGCAGCCTGAACTGAGAGCAAATTTAAATTACTGAGCCTTTTTTTTCCTTTTTTTATTTTTCTACTCTGCGACAAACTGAAAAGATTCCAGCACGCTAATTTAACCACCCTGCTTCTTCTTTGCCTTTTTTTTTTTTTTTGATTTTTTTTTTTTTTCTCTCCCTGCTTCTAGGATAATTAAAAGAGAAACCTGTAAAAGGCAACATTCCTGTGAGCGAGTTGGTGCTGCAACGTGCTGGTAAGAAAACGAGTTTAATTTTTTTCATCTTTTTTTTTTTTTTTTTTTTTTTGCTTTTTCTTTTTTTAAAGAGCTGAAGGCTTTGTCTGTCTAATGCAGTCATAAGCGTGGCTTCCCTGCCGTGAGGGGTTAGCGTATAATGAAAAGGTGTAATAGCCTGATGTACGACCTTCGCGTCATACTTATAATGGTTAATAACAGCATTCCTGTCTACCCCGATGATGCTTCTCTCTGCAAATGGACTATTTGCCCAGTTGCAACAGGGCTAAGATTGTCGCACTATGACAATGAGTTGTTGATTGTTTGGAGTTGCGGTGTCCTGTCAGAAAGATTTCTTGACTTTCTCCAAGTTACTTCCTTCCAGGGATGTTACGGGTTTTAATAGGTACCTTGCAGACCATAACGAGTCTGCTGTTTACTCATCAAACAGGAAGTGCAATGATGAAACTTTTTTTTAAGGAATCCTAATTGTCTTAGACTTCCTTAGTTCAGATAATGAAACAGACTAAAGTGAGTGCTCAGTAAAGTCATTTTAATCCCTTTCATCTGTAACTAGTCAGGAGTTCATTAGCCAACTAAGAAGAACCTACATCATTTGCAGACCTTGTATTTGAGATGCTAACTTTGTTCCTCAAAAGGACAAATTTTTATTCAACCCAATTAAATTCAACAAGTATTTCTGTGTATACTCTGCCTGGAACGGCTGCTGAGAATGTGCTTGCCTGTTACTCTGTTGTGGGGGAATAACTGAAATTAGATAGTGTAAATTTTCAGCAACCAGATTTTCTTACTACCTTTAGCACTGACCAGATCACTTAAGACATTTCAGAATGTGTGACCGTTGGCTATAAGATAAAGTTCTCAAGGTTACATATCCTACAATCAACGAACTTCTGTTCTTTTTCTGCATGTAACTTTTGCTCATGTGAAAAATGCAACTCTGGCTACTATATTTTACATCACATCTTAATGTTATAAAGAAGAAAAAAACATAGACATCTCTTTTTTTGTACACTAAACATGTCATTTGAAAATATATCCATGTGTCAAACTTTGAGCTTATCCATATTTTAGCCTCAGAAGCAGGAAGACACACGGAGAGGTTTAGGCTTGTCAATGAGTCTGCTTGGATTTGGGTCAAGAAACTTAGGAACTACAATTTCTCTGTTTGTTTGGTTGTTTGTTTCCTTTAAAAGCACGTGTGAAACAGCAAGGAATACATTTTGCTTTCGCCCCATTGTTCTTTGTAAACTGGTGTAGTTTTTATTTTTTTATTTTTTGTCCTTTGGTTTTGAATAGATAACTAGAAATGTAATGGGGAGGTTGTCAAAAACAGAATGTAGTTACCAAATGTCCATTAAAACCTTTTTCTAAAAAAAAAAAAAAACTCCTATGGATTTTGAAGGTTGTATGCTATTTGCATCTTATAGAGAATGTGGCATTCCATACGCTGGTAACATTTGGTCTCGGGTCTCTATAGCTATTCTATCTAATTGTGTCGCTCTATATTTAACAGCTCTGAACCATGCCGCCCCTGGGTCCTCACCGGTGCCCCCAGAGCGCTTGAAATGTCTAAAAAGACCTTAGAACATTACAAAGTGTCAATTGTTAGAATAATTTCTGCCTCTTTACAACAAGAGAAAATGCTGTGGAGTTAATAGTTCATTTTTAAAGTCTGTTCTTATCCACCGGTAACTGTCTATTAGCAACATTTCAGTTATAATTGGAATAAATTGTTGCCCAGTAACAAGCGACTAACTCCTTAGCGACTTTCCATAGAATCAGTGACTAGAAATAGCTACAAAGAGCTAAACGCAAGTCAAACCACAGTACTTGTCTTTTTTTTTATTGTGGAAAAAAATTCATTTCTTTATAATTTTATCATTCTATTCTCAAATTTTCAAATTGAGGTGCCTCTTCTTTGTAATTTTCTAATTGACCAAAATCCCGTACGTGAAA